>NC_000003.12:108554058-108857089 GCF_000001405.40 Homo sapiens | reverse complement strand
TAAAGCATATGTCTAAACTAATCACCCTCCCTTTACTCTGCTAGAAATAAGCCATTTAATACCAAAAGGAAATGAGTTATCCCTCCTATTTTTGAGATTTGAGTTCAACTTATCGGACCTTTAAAACATTGTCAGTGAAAATCTCAAGACTTGGAATTCATCTGTTTTCTAGTCATGATTTTTCTTTTTCTTTTCCTCCGTACATATTTTTTTTCCAGTTGAAATGTTAAGGCTTATAATGATACAGGCTGAGGATCCATAATCTGAAAATCCAAAATCCAAAATGGTCCAAAGTGGAAAACTTTTTGAGTGCCATGACTCCACAAGTGGAAAATTCCACACCTGACATTATGTGATGAATGCACAAAATTATTTACAAATATTACATAAATAGCCCTCAAGCTATGTGTATATAAACATAAATGAATTTTCTGTCTAGGCTTAAGTCGCATCCCTAAGATACTTCACTACATATGAATAAATATTCCAAAATCTAAAAATCAGAAACACTTCTGTTTCCAAATACAGGATATTCATCCTGTATTCCTTCTGGAACATAAGCCCTGAAAACTGCCAAAGGTGATGTATATATAGTCCCTAATAATTACATGATGATCAGTAATTCATAGCTTACTCACATTTCAAATGATCCTGCTTAGCTTATCGAATTATACTAAATTACACTAAAAATATACTATAGAATTACAGTAAAGTGGTAAGAATGCCTTGGATTTCTGCTTCTGACAAAGATAGAATAACATCCTAGATTTACCCTACTACCTGAACATACTCTGCCAGCTGAAACAACTAAACTCCAGACAAAGTAGATGAAACAGTGTTACTTGACATACTGTTTCAGGCAATGAAGGACAAAGGTCGGTCCCTGAAAGATGGGAAACAAATGAGGTAAACCTTCCTATCATCCTATCTTATTGCCTGGAGAAAAGTTTCAGGCCTTGGAGCAGGTAGAGGAAACCTAGGTAAAAGACCATTGATCTCTTGAATTGAGGAGATGGAGCTCCAGGTCAAGAGAAGTCAAAAAGGCAGAATACTGGAGAGAAGAGAGCTGCGTGTAGAGAAAACTCTGGAGATATGTGAAGAGTCGCCGTCAAGTATTCAGTTAAGTACTGGTCAGTGCACGCAAGTGACAAAACTACCCGAACTTGGGGAAAAACCCACCTGAAAATAATAAAGAAAACAGTGCCCATGACTCACACATGGCTGGGAATAGTGTCGATTATCAACAGCCAAAGTGGAAAACGTCCTAATTCATGAACGGTGGTACTAAGTACTAACGAGGATCTTTCCTCAGTAATAAACTAAATTTAACTTAGTCTAAAAGCTGCTCTGGCTTAATCTAACAAAATTTAAAAGCAAGATTCTAAATGATCAAATTGTGTTCAAGTAACTTGATAGTTTTCAGTTAGCTATGTCACTGAAAACAAACTATCAAGTTAGTTTTCAGCTACATAGCTCAAAAACATAAGAATGCAAAAATATGCATTGCCAAACAAAGGAAAATGTACAGTATTTTCTGCCTAATTAAAAATCATCAGGCATTTAGAGAGGCAGAAAAATATAACCCATAATGAGAAAAATAAATCACTTGAAACTCATTCACAATGACAGATAACAGAATTAGTAGATTTTAAGAAGCATTAAAACAGTTGTTACAACTGTATCCATTGGTTGAAGATGTTAGATGAGAGATTAAGTACGTTAGAGACATGAAATATGGGGGACAAAAGACCCAAACTAAATTTATAGAAATAAAAACTAAGTTATCTGAGATTAAAAAGTCCTGTCTAGGATTATGGCAGATTAGATCATTTAGAAAAAAAAGATTCATGAACTTGAAGATGTAGCAAGAAAAACTATCCAAAATGAAATACAAAAAAGAATGAAATAAAATAAACAGATAAGTAAAATGTGGGACCATTTGCAAGTAATTGAAAAACTTGAAAATGCGGAGGGTCACAGAAAAAAAAATATTGGTCATTTTCCCCCACCCAAATTTGATGAAAATATAAATACATAGATCTAAGAAGCTCCACAAATTCCAAACACAAGACACTTGAAAAATAACCATACCTTGGCATATTATAATCAAATTAGAACCAGTAATAAGGAAAGTCTTAACAATCAGAAAAATAGCGTGTATCACACTTAAGGACAGAGACAAGTATTATAGTATGTGTTTCTGATGAAACAGAGAGAAGACAGTGAAGCAGTATTTTTTAATTATTGAAAGAAACATTGTCATCTCAACCTTGCTTTTTGCATCAATAAATTGTTTTTGAAAAGTCATTAAAATTATTTAAATAAACTGTGATTTGGTTATCAGTGGGGTGCTAAGCAGACATTAAAATTACAATATATGCGTATTTATATATAGTTAAATATAACAGTGAAAATAAATCCACAATATATTGTTGACTGGAAAGAAAGTTTAAGTAATGTGTACAAAAGAAACCACATTTTTGGTTCAAAATAAAAAGAAACAACTGATGTACATACATAAGCATGCCCAGAAAAATATTTAGAAGGATATATAGAAAGTTTCTCCAAGTGACTATCTCTGGCTAGTAGAATTCCTAAACTCTTTTTGATATTTGTTTGTTGTAAGGAGCATGCATTAATTTGACAATTTTTGAAATAGTAAAGCTATCTTTGGGAAAAATACTTTGTAAGAAAATTATATTACTTCTCTTAGTAATGCATTTTAATGTTTCCTATACCTTTCAATCAGAAATTTATTTCAATTATGGGCTATTGCCCATTGGTGAGAAAGGAGAATTAAAAAAAAACTCATTGGCTTTTATTTTTCTTCTAACGTGTTCCAGAACACATTCATGCTTAAATTTTTATATTTCCCTAAGTATTAGGTATTGTGAATTTGTAATCTTGTTATCAGGCTCAATTTTCAAGCTGGGTCTTATTAATTTTTAGTATATGTGCTGCCGAGGTGAGCACATTAATTTTTTACATTTTAGTAGTAAAGCATTTTTTAAGTTATTTGAAATACTGATTTTCATGGCCTTACATTTGGCATGCATAAGTGTAAGCTGTGAATAAGAGGTAAGCCACCATCCCATCAACAAATGATCAGGTCATCACCCTGCTGCCAAGTCCTTCTGTGTCCTCTGTGCATCTTGTTTTCTTAGAAGCCATCTTCAATAGGAGCCAAATCATTGAACTAGATCATGGTCCAGCTAGTTTATAGGTTCTCTCTTAGCACGGATCAATCCAAACAGTCTGATGGGATCATCATGAATGTTTTCCTCTACTGCCTGGCTTTCTGGGGAGAAACTGTCTACTAAGGTGGTCTTAGAAACGCTGGCATCTATTGCATGTAGTTGCTCATCTCCATCCTTGTCTGAGAAATGAGTATTCTGTTTCCTGGGCTTTCTACGCTTCCCCTTAACGCTGTGATCAAGTGAGGCGTAGCACATCTGTGTTTCATTGGTTGCCTAAAAGAAAGGGATGTTAATTTTTCATTGTTAGTCTGTTCTTTAGCTTGACTTCTGGAAATTTCTGTGGCGTATGAAAACCAAGTAACTTGTTTTCTAGGCCTCACCTACCTTGTTTTGCCAAATTTGTCAGTACAAAAAACAAAAACAAAAAACAGAACAGAAAACTATAGTCAGCCAACACTCTTGAGTTGAAAAAGTGCTTAGATGAAACTTTTTCCTAGATTTTTATTTCTTTATTATACTCTAACAGTACATGAACATTTTAGGTTGATTCTTACCTGCCTCTACCTCCACCTCCACCTAAGGTAGTTCTGGCCCTGTGTCGCTCTTACCAAGTAACGATACTCCAGTTTATTAAAGTAGGAATAAGCATGATAGGAAGGAGTTTACCAAATCACAAGGGTCTACTTTACATGTACCTAACAATTGGTCATTTAATGGTACCACAAAAGTCCCCAGTTTTTCTACATTTTTAAGATTCAGAAGTATAAAGATAACAATATTCACTTACATGATAGATATCTGGCAAATAACTAAATTTCTTATCTTTCCCTATTATTTTCTTATCTGCCTTCCCCAGTTCCCTTTTGAGCTCATTTTGGATTGGCCTTGGAGATATCCATTCACATCCAAGAGGGCCCAGTGGGCTTCTCCGGACTAGACCTGGGTCAATACTAAAGAAAGACAGGAAACTAGGCTATCTAGGGGAAGCAACATGCTAAAGGCAAGACCTTGAATTTGGCATTGGAAAGACTACGACTGAATCCCAGCTCTGCCATACAGTGATCATGGGATCTTGGTCAGGTTTTTAAAAATATTCTGAACCTCAATTTTCTTGCCTAGAAAATGCAAATCATCATAGTGTTGTTATGGTTAGTACATAGAGATAATGTATATGAAAGTTATAACTACTGTTCAAAAGTAAGGTAGCACTATAATTATGAAAAGTTGTAGACTAAAACTTTAAGACAGCCATTGAACAAACCAAAGATTTATGTATTAAGCATTACTCTTTAAGACTAGGCCAAAATTGTATTGATTTGCAGGAACAGGGTGAAGAAATAACATTTGGATTAACAACATTTCTAATGCGTAAGTAAGCATCTCCCCGTTGGCACTTGTTTTCATGTTAATAGTGAAACATTTTATATTCTCTGCCAGATAGAAAAGATGGTTCTATTTATACCCTCTGCTGTGTGTGTGTGTGTGTGTGTGTGTGCATGCGTGTGTTTTTTGAGATGGACTTTCGCTCTTGTCACCCAGGCTGGAGTGCAGTGGTGCGATCTCAGCTCACTGCAACCTCTGCCTCCCAGGTTCAAGTGATTCTCCTGCCTCAGCCTCCCAAGTAGCTGGGATTATAGGTGCCCACCACCACGCCTGGCTAATTTTTGTATTTTTAGTAGAGACGGAGTTTCGCCATGTTGGCCAGGCTGGTCTTGAACACTTGATCTCAGGTGATCCGCCCGCCTCGGCCTCCCAAAGTGCTGGGATTATAGGCGTGAGCCACCACACCTGGCTGTGTGGTTTTGTTGTTGTTGTTGTTGTTGTTGTTGTGTCTAGCTTCTTAGTCTTAAAATCCTCATTTCTGGAAAAATTGTAATAGCTGCCTAACTGGATCCATGCTCTAGTTTCTTCCCACTGCCATATACTGTTGTCAAGTTATTTCTAATTTAATCTCAACCTGTTTTCTTCATTTATAACTGAAAGCATTCCAAATAATGCATGTGTGGTCAACACTTGGTCAACTTTATCAAGTGCTGCAGAGTTAAAGAATGTGAGTCCTAAGAAAGGACCACAAATTGTATGTTTAATAGTCACTGGAGACTTCCACACTGCAGTGTTAGTTAAGTGCATGGGTGGAAAACACATAGCCAGGGTAAATGAATGTGTATCTATCCAAAGAAATCAAAACAATAGAGGAAGAAGCTAAGAATCAGTTTAGAAATTAGAAGGAAAAACAGTTCAAGTAAGGTGTTTTTTTTTTTTTTAATATTGGAGGGACTTTCACATATTGGTAGGCAAATAGTAATGATTCATTAAAAAAATGGAAACTTGAGAAAAGTTCAACAATTGAAAGTACAAGATCCTGAAATAATTAGGAGAAAGGGTCAAGATCATGAATAAGAGCATTGGCTTTGGAAAGGAGAGAGGATGCTTCTGACATAGGAGGAAAAGATTGATTAGAGATTTGGATATGAAGAGAAGAGGAGCAAGCTCACACTTGTATTTTTCAAATGTTTTGGGATTTGGGGACTCTTGTGAACTCACTTTATTACTAGGCTTTCTGATTAACTCTTCCTAGTTAATAGAAGACTGAGATACTAAAATTACAATTTCTGAACTGTACACATCATTTTCAAAGGCCAAGGAGCCTATTTACATTTTTTCCAACGAAGAAACACTTTGTCTATCAAGCTTTATGCATAATATCCTAGTTCCTTATGCTTTTGTGGTTGACCAAAGTAACAAAGTAGGTATTGTAGTAGCAAACTAGGTAGTGTTTTTTTATGATAATAAACACTGTAGTGAAATAAAATTGAGCAAATACGAAGATATTACCTCTAATTTGTGAAACTAAATTTATGAGAATAGTATAATAGAAAAGACTAATTTTCTTAGAAGTACCTTTAAATACACAATTTACAAAAGAGCAGGCTTTTAAAGACATTTTAAGGCTTTGCATAATTTTCACTTGAGTGAAAGCCAGATGCAGGTCAAATAAAGCTACCCTGTACAAGTCATGTGTATTAAATAGTAACTTCTATTCAGAATTCTCAGTACTTTTACAACTAAAGTGCTGTGAATCTCTACACTTCAGATAATGTATTTTAACCTTCCTTGAGAGGTTTTCTTTTTATTATCATGGATTTAGCAAATCATATTATATCATGCAGGTTTTCCATATGTTTATCTAAAATATATTTTATAATTAACTAAACATTATATGGCAGATTTGGTGAGCATATTTTTCCCAACTCCTACTACATCTTGGTTTCTTAGTTAAAAAATATTCAGCTGGGCACGATGGCTCATGCCTGTAATCCCAGCACTTTGGGAGGCCGAGGTGGGTGGATCACTGCGGTCGGGAGTTTGCGACCAGCCTAACCAACATGGTGAAACCCCGTCTCTACTAAAAATACAAAAATTAGCTGGGCATGGTGGCAGGCACCTGTAATCCCAGCTACTTGGGAGGCTGAGGCAGGAGAATCGCTTGAACCCGGGAGGCAGAGGTTGCAGTGAGTGGAGATTGTGCCATTGCACTCCAGCCTGGGCGACAAAGAGCAAAACTCTGTCTCAAAAAAAAAAAAAAGTTTAAAAGTTTGATTTCTTAGGGGATTTATCTAAAGAAAAAGAGTAAAATTCTACCTCACTGGGAAATTTTCAAGATGTGAGCCATTTTAGGGAAGAGAATGTTCTGTAAGAGAGGACTAAGTTTGGATTCTGTCTACTTACTTAGTACCTAAGTGTTCTGGGCAAGTTTTCATCCTTTGTGAGCATTTGTAAAATGGGAATGATAATGCTGCCTCCCTCATAGGAATCTAAGGAGATAATGAACATAAAGCACATAGTACAAGACCAACACGTAAAAATTGCTTAGGAAATGCTGGCTCTATTACCATTTCTAGGCAGTAACAAGACAGGATCTGAGAGGAGAAGAAAAACTATTTTAATTGAAATGTATAGCATTTCAGGAGCATGTAGGCTAAAAATTTCTAATGGCTTTTAATAAAGTTAGAACTAAAACTGAAGAGGTTGAACAGATTGTGGTAGGAAAAAGAGAAACTATCCATTTCTTCCTGTATTTTTATGTTTCTCCTTAGGTTTTTGTCCTGCCTACGTCCACATAAACTGTGTGTATATTTTGCAATCTCTTGCCATAAGACCACAGCCACAGGACTTGTATTAAAATTGAAAGTCATCTGCCTTTTAAAATAGGGATATGATGTTTTGTATCTAGCTAATTTATCTTATAACTAAAGGTCTCCCTCTCCCTACCCCAGCTCTGTATTTTGAATTCCTGACATTTAGGTCTTGTGAGCATTATCCGTGTGTCACCTTCTATATTATATTATCTCTGTGATATACACAAAATTTTCAATCAGAAAGAAAAAGCTTAATAGATTACTTAGGAATAATCCTATTATTCCCTTAAAATCTATTGCCTTTGTGATTGTGTACAATTTTGACTCTTTGAATATGGTTTGAGTTCTGTTTACATGACCCTGAGTTAGAGCTCAGGTCCCAGAACTTGACATCTGATTGATTGCAAAATTTCTAACAGGCTATTTCAGATGTGTATCATAATGTACTACTCTTATGCTCTTGAAATGTGCAAATGTGGAAACAGAAAACAAAACTCACCTGTGCAGATGGGGTGGCTTCCTGCATCTTATTTACAGATTTCTCTGGTCGGGCTTTCATTTGTTCATAGCAATTTTCATCCATTGGTTCTTGGGAATTAAAAAGATTGTGATTCACAATAGAAAATTTAAAAATACTAGTATGATTAAAAATACATGATCCAAACAACATTTGGCTGCAAATATAAACTGCCCAAGAATTACTTAACTAGTCTTTTTGGTGGAGATAGAAAGAGGTAAGGAAGCCCAAACTGTTACCTGCAGATCAGGCGGTGAAGTCTCTTGAGCTAAAGGGTTAGTAAGATAAAAATAAATCCTTGGAATAAGAACTAGATCATATGAATTTTCTTGTACCACTGCAGGACATGACAGTCTTAAGCTACCATTTGGATGTTATAGAGATCTCACAAGTTAAGGGATTGCCAGTATTCTTTATTTAAGATAGACTGCAAATGGTGCATGGTGCCACAAAGCACAGTGCACATACATCAGTGATTACAATTTTGAAATTTGTTCTTTGAGTAAGGAGTTTTGCTCAGGGACATTTTAAGTCCCACATCTTAATTTTGAAAAAGAGGGTTTATATTATGACTTTTGTCCCATCAATCAGTGACGGACATCTCAGCCAGACTGCCTAAGGGTCTGGGGCTGCACAATGCTGGTCCTTAGTATTTGGGGCTTTTGTACAGTGTCCAGCAGCCAGCAGATCTGTACTCATTTCATCCTATGGGGACATGCCTTTTGAATCATCCATACCTTTCTTCCCCCAGATATGTCCATTTAAAAGGAAGAAGAAAGTGAAGTAGTGACTCATAGGATGGCCAGTAACCTGACAGAAGTGTGGATTGTACCAGTTTGACCCTCAGAGAGAGAAAGATATATTTACTATAAGAAAAGCGACTTAATAATCATTGAGCTCTTTCTGAAAAGCAACACAGAGAAAGGGTATGTAGAGTGGTGTTTCTCAAATCATGGTCCATGGAAAATCTGCATCAGAATCACCTGGGATGTTAAGTAGCAGATCTCTAAGCCTTAGCCTGGACCTGCTAAATCAGAATGTGTGCAAGCGGCACCTGGGCTCACTTAAGTATGGAAGTAGCAGGTATAATGGGTTTGGAGCCATCAGAATACATAAGAATTTGAGTAGTTGAGTATTATAGGTGACTAACATGATTCTCCAAAGTGAAATGGGGACAAATTATTTTGAATAATATATTTCCAAAAAATAATTTTTGATTCCTTAGAGCACTAGAGGACACTCTACAATGAAAGGAAAGATAAAAATAAATTCTTGAATCACGCAAAAGAAAATTCCCACATTTCTAACTTTAAGATGATTCCATACTGTTTTAATATATAGATTTTTAGATAAATTTCCTACATTACTGGATGTCTCTGTGTTCAAAACTTGGAGTTCAACAGCATTTAACCCCCAAGTCTCCTCTGATGTATTGAATGAGTACTTGCAGGGAAAGGGTGGTAGCTTCTATCATCAGAACTCTAGAATCAGACCAAGGTTATCTGTTTGGAGAAATTTAGGGATGTTTCATTTTTAGATGTCTGGGATGACACAAGTGATAAGGGATGCTGGGAACTGAAGAGCGCTTATTACATAAGAACAAAATAAATATATAAACCACTCAGCAACAATTTAGTTCCTCTTTCTCCCACCTGCCATCAATCCAGCCCTACATTCTCTATTTAGAATATGAGAAACCAAAGAAACTGTTCATTGTTCCATGCTATTCACTGTACATTTGCTTTTGTATATTGAGCACAAAGCACTGTTTCTGTGGACCACTTTCTGTCCTAGAAATAGCTTTATTTCATAGAATTCGGTGTGTGTTGAAATTCATGGTAATAGTCTTCCTGTATTCTCATTACTACTAGAGTGAAATGAAGAGAATATAGAAAAACAGGATGTTGATTTAGAGTGGCTATTGTAATACAACTTACAATATGCAGCTTTGGAAATGTAGCCTAATTAATATACTAAAAGTTCTTGAATTGATGGTTATCACTGGGATAGCTAAGTGTGATTTGATTTTTTTAAAGCGCCACTTAAATTATTTTGTGAAACCAACTGGGATTTACTTATTTATAAATTTAACTTATGGAAAACTTACCTGAAATCATATCATCTAAGTTACCATAAATTGGTGTGTCTTCAATATAATACTCATCAACCCTATAACAAGGAAAAATAATTTACCTTATTAGATTCCACTTTTCACATAATTCATAACTGACTTCTCAGCTAAATTCAATATTAAGTGAACTATTGCCTATTCTTGGTTACCCCCAGCCAACCACGGTAGGTGTGTTCTTGTGCAAGTGAGTGAACACGTGCATGCATGTGTGTATGTGTATCTGTGTTCCGTGTGAATTTAAAAAGTTGGTTTTTGGATCTTCTTACAGGGAATCATGATAGCAAATACTTATTCAATAGTAACTGTATATTAGGCGCTACATCGAGTATATTTCCTATGTTTGTTCATTTAATTCTCTCAATTCCAACATAGGTACTATATCATCCTCCTTATGCAGATAAGAAATCTGAGGCACAGAGAGGTCATATGACTTGCTCAAGATTACGACTAACAAATAGCAGAGTTAGAATTAGAACCCAGGTAATCCATGCTCTTTATTGTACAATGTACTGCCTCTTTACTCACCCAGAATATCAGTCCAAACAATCTCTTAAAACCATGTTTTCTGAGTATTACAGACTGAGGTTAGCAGATGCAATAAAATGATTGATCACCTATTATGTCCAGATGGTGAGTTAGGTGTTTTACATACATTGTATCAAAAACTCACAAAGAAAATTCTCCAAAAGTAGTAGTATTCTTCCCTGCTTTACAGGGGAGAACCCTGAGATTCAGATAGATTAATTTATTTTCCCTAGGCTGATCTCAACTATCAGCAATAACTACCAGTTGTGAAACCTTTTCTCTATGCAAGTGCTCATTCAACCCTCAGGACAATCATATGAGATGCATATTTTATCCCTATTGTGCATATAAGGTATTTGCAGCTCATAGAGGTTAATGACATTGTCCACAGATACACAGTCAGTAACTGGCAGTGCTAGGATTGTACAGCAAGTTTAGTTGTAAAGCCCCGTGCTCAGTCCACATCATGAGGAAGTTATTCAGTGGGTGATACAATTCAAAGGCTGTGGGGAAACAGTCTAGAGACTATACAGGGACCACAGTTTTATGTCTCCCCGACCCTCAGGTCAAGAGAACTGACAAGAATACACAGCTATTTGCTCTTGCTAGCTGATTAAAGTTCCTTCCAGCCTCACGTGAGTAATGCTATTAGGATTACAGTATACATCCTACCATTGTCACTAGACTGTCATTCTACCAATGTCATCCTACCATTGATGATGGCCCTAGTGACCAGATTTCACAATGGCAGTCTGGGAACTGAGGAACTTATCAGGTGGTGAGAGTCGCATTTCATAAAATAGTACCGACTGCTTTAACTTTGAGATTACATGTCACTGAGAGCTGGAGGGAATTTCATCAAAAGAAAAAAAAAAAGGACTCTTATCTCAAGGCATAACACCTGTATTACTCTCTATGCCACTGAAAAAAGACACAGTATATGTAAATAGTACGTAGGTATTAAAAAAATAACAGTTCAAATGATACCTGTATGAAATGGCTTGAAAAGCCCAGATATGGGCAAACACTTCACTCATCTGATAACAAAGGAACTCATCTGTAACCTTTTTTCCATCCGGTAATTCAATACAGCTTAATATTGGGATATCAAGTAGTCCCTGCTCATGATTTTTCTCCATGCCAAGAATATAATAGCAAAAACTGAAGAATTTTTAATAAGACAATCCATCCATTTTCCTAGCCCACATAGATGGCAGATCCAACTTGCAAATGATAAATCATGTCCAAAAAATGAGTATTGTTTTATTCCCTATGAATGAAAATAAGATGTGATTTATAATGCAGTGTCCTGTGTCTACAGGCCCATCTCAAATGATTAATCATCTCAAATAAACTATTATTCAGGAGCAATTGCCTAACAAACAAATTTAAAAATATATTCTTGGCAATGCCAAATAGCTCCAGCCTGTTGTAAATGTGTAATAAACCTCAGGAGCAAATGTTTGGCAGTATTTTATGTGGATGATTAATTACTTTTAAAAATAAATTAATAATTGAACTCATATCTGAGAGGCTAGTGTACCTCTGAGTTTTCAGCCAGACCAGACTCTCCATTGTTCTGAACATGCCTGAAATAATTCTCTAACCAGTAAGTACATTTACTGACACTCCAAAATTAAGAAAAATATATTAATTATATCTATTACTATGGTCCAGACTTTGTGCTTTCATATATATATACACGTATTTCTTTTTTTTTTTTTTTTTTTTTTTTTTGAGACAGAGTCTCTCTCTGTCACCCAGGCTGGAGTGCAGTGGCGCAATCTCGGCTCACTGCAAGCTCCGCCTCCCGGATTCACGTCATTCTGCTGCCTCAGCCTCCCGAGTAGCTGGGACTACAGGCGCCCGCCACCACACCCAGCTAATTTTTTGTATTTTTAGTAGAGACGGGGTTTCACCGTGTTAGCCAGGATAGTCTAGATTTTCTGACCTCATTATCTGCCCGCCTCGGCCTCCCAAAGTGCTGGGATTATAGGCGTGAGCCACTGTGCCTGGCCACATTTATATTTTTTCTAGTTCCTATTTTTTACATTTATATTTATATTTATTATTTATTAGGTCTTTTATTTAAAAAATTCCTCAAGTAGTTTGTGATCAAAGTCCATTTAAATAACTAAATTCAAATTAAAAAATAATCTGGCGTGAACCCAGGAGGCAGAGAAGGCAGTGAGCCGGGATTGCACCACTGCACTCCAACCTGGGAGTCAGAGCGAGACTCCGTCTCAAAAAAAAAAAAAAAATCACTACTTCTACCTGATCACCTTGGACTTAAATTCTCTAAGTTTAGATTGTCTTACTTAAAAAATGAGATTAAACTAGTTGATTTCTATTGTTCTTTTCAGTTCCCAAGTTCTAGAATACAAATGCAGGATTCCAACATCCAAATAAAATTGAAAGACTTTTTTACAAAACGAAATAAATCTATTTTAAGGGCCTGAGAAGTTGCCAGAGATGGGAAAGGACAAGCTTTGGGATCCATCAGAAGTTGGTTTTGGTAATTGCTAACCTGATTTGCTTCATAGTTGTTACTCTGAATAGGCAAAGATGTAAGCTTGGGATCCGTAAGTGTGTAAATGTTTAAAGCCATGAGAGAGGATGACATTATTTATGGAATGAGGCCCTGGGAACTGTGATGTTTAAGATTCAGAAACCAGCAAAGGAGAAGGGGCTGCTGGTAAGAGAAGAAGAAAACCAAAGAGGGAGGTGGCTCAGAGCCCAGAGAATCAAGTGTTTCAAGTAGAGAGTGTCAGGGTGTCAAATGCTGCAGAGGGACTCAGCAAGCTGAAACCGAGATTTGATCATGGTAACCTTGACAAGAGTAGAGTCAGTGTATTAGTGAGGACATATGGAATAGAGTAGGTTCAAGAAAGAAGAGGAAAAGAGGAAGAAAAGCCAGCAAATATGGACAGAATATAGAGGGACCTTTCAAGTTTTCTTGTAAAAGAGAAAAGAGCAATGAAGAGGTAGCTGTAAGGCAATCTAGTTTTGTTGTTGTTGTTGTTGTTTTGTTTATTTTTGTTTTTGTTTTTTTGAGACGGAGTCTTGCTCTGTCACCATGTTGGAGTGCAGTGGTGTGATCTTGGCTCACTGCAACCTCCGCCTCCTGGGTTCAAGTGATTCTCCTGCCTCAGCCTCCCAAGTAGCTGGGACTACAGGCGCATGACGACATGCCCAGCAAATTTTTGTATTTTTAATGGAGACAGAGTTTTACTATGTTGGCCAGGATTATCTCAATCTCTTGACCTGGTGATCTGCCTGCCTCGGCCTCCCAAAGTGCTGAGATTACAGGCGTGAGCCACCACGCCCGGCTGGCAATCTAGTTTTAAGGAGATGGTTGGTTTTTTAAAGGTATAAACAATACAGTCTGTTTATATATTGGTGGGAATGATACAAAGGGGACAGAAAAAGTAACAATGCAGAATCACAAAGGAAAAGTTGACAGAGTGATGCATATATGCTTATTACATTTTCGCTTTCTCTGGCATGGGCTGTGGTATGAGTGTAGATGTCTTGAACTTGGCGCAGGAGGGCACCAAATAGAGAACCCTGATCCAGAGGAAGAATATAAATCCTAGCACTATTTTGTGTGACTGAGGCTGAGAAGTGAATCCAGCAGTGTTGTCTCTGAAGTGATGGTTAATGGATGCTCATAGCCATGATATCTAACACTAAATTCTCATTCTGTTGATTAGTGTTCACGTGCCTCTCTAATATGCTCATTTCTTTGTAAAGTCTGTTAAGCACAATGAGCTCACATTGCCAGTGCTTTAGAGCACTTGAAAAGAAGGGTCTTTCGCCAAAGTTTGGCGGAAAGGATACTGGAAAGAACTGCCAGCATGACAATTTCTAAAATGACGGAGAATCCAAGAGCAGTGACGGAGCTAGAGGTGACAAGGGGGCAGCCAAGAATAAGGTTTGGGGAACCCCGAAATTCTCAGAATTGCTTAGGAAAGGGACCAGACTTCTTGTAGTTATACAGGGCTGGGGCTTGGGTTATGATTATTTGTACATTGAAACAAACAGGAGGCTGGAAGACGTAGAGACACTTTGGTTACACATGTGGTACTGGGTCTAGTGAAGGCCCCACCTGCATAGCCAGTTGGAAGTCTGTGATGTCAGGGAAGGGGACCCAAGAGTTCTCTTGTCATAAGGATTCTCAACCTTGAGAATGGGTGAAGAGGACAGATGAGACTAGTTATATTTAGGTAGCATAGTTAGCAAAGAAAGGAAATACAGAAGATCCCCACCCTGCAGAGCTCCAGAAATTCAAGAAATCACCGGAAAGTAGAAGAGTAGCTGAGCTGAATTAATGTTTTATGATAAAAGCACCTCCAGTGTCCCCCAGAAGCAGTTCATGAAAATCTGCTGGAAATGCATCCTAAGCTTTTTGAGAGAGACTCTGAAAACTGAGGAGTCATGATAAGCTTAATGTAATTGTAAACCTGAACTGCTTTCTTGAATTAGGGTGTGAACATACTGCAAGTGGGCAGGAATTTTCAGAGGCATTAATTTTTATTCAATAAAACAGCAGCTTTTTAGTCAACTACCCTCTGTAAATAAAGTATTATATTATAAACCTTATTCTTCATATGATAAAACCAAATTTCACCAATGCTCATTTCCCCAAGACTACGAATCCACTAATTGCAAGTCTGTTTAAAATTCAGAATTGCCTGGATCTCAAATCCATGATAGTCTCACAGTATTATCCTCCTAACACAAACCAAAAGGCAAGAATTATGTTTTAAATGAGAAATAAAGTGACCCAAGAATAAATAGCAGAAAGTGTGTATTTGATTTTCTGCTTGATTTAGGTGCTATGGTTTCCTTAAAGTGATCATGTTTCTGACGTACTGTTGCAGGAAGGGCAGGGAATGGGGAAACAGAGAAATAAGATGAGAGAAGCAATTCCTTTCCCTTCCAGCATAAGCCAGTATTGAATAGGAGTGGGGAGAGAGTGCAACAGAGAACCCAGTGCGATAGAAGTTTATTTCCTTTCTCTATGGCCACAAACCATGTTGGAACTGAAGAGGCATCAGTAACGCAAGCCCCACCCGAGAAACATAGACCTTATTTTCACTTGCCCTGTTTTAATGTTTAATGGATTCAGATAGTTTTTAGTTCGCTTACTGGTTTGTTTGTGGAGCTTCCATGCCCCTTTACAAAAGAGATTTTTGTTCCCAAACCACATAAGCAAGAGAAATAGACAAAATATAAGGTATATACATAAACTTGTGAATTAAAATATCAACGCTTTTTTATAGAAAAAAATCTGCATTGTATATTCAAATTTTGCCTAACTGGAGATTTGTTACAATAGACAATAGGTTATTTTATAAATCCTTAAGGGAAAGATTCATGCCTTTCCATCTTTGTATCTTTGTTGTTGCAGGACAGTTCTCTGGGTGACTTTGCACCCAACTGGTCCTTCTTTTCTCACTTCTAATTTTTAAGAATAACTGTAGAATGTGCTGGAAATGCAACCTTCAGGGATAAAGAAGAATCAGCTGGAACAGCCTAGGTTTTATTCTAGTCTCTCACAGAAACAGGATATCCTTCAGTGCTTTAGCCCAGCATATCATGTTGCCCCTTAGGGGTAAACCCAAAGGTAGGCTGCTTTCTGGAGTCCTTCAGCTGCAGTGCAGGTGGGGAACAGGAAGATGAGTTTCCATCCACCTTGGACAGCTTTTCTGAGGCTTGGGGAACTATCTCTGAATGAATCTTAGACTTTGGTTGTCCTTTGCTGAGTAAGTAATAAGCTCACTTTATGTAACTCATTGTTTGTGTGTTTTGTCTCACCAGACTCAGGAAAGTAGTAAATGTGCATCCCAAGACACAGTGGGCTGAAGCGCTCAGACTCCTATTCCTGGTGGTTGGCATAGTAATGATCTTTGCTATCCTATATCCTCCCTTGGGATTGGTAATCAGCAAACTTATTTTGCTATTGTCTAGCACAGTGCCTGTTTGTTGAGTGAATATTTATTGAATGAATAAATGTTATAAAAGCTTTTTTTTTTTTTTTACATTTGCCCTACAGCTAAAAGCCTGATTGCTTTGAGGCAGGTATTTTACCAATTTTCCCTCTCATTGCTCCCATCCTAATCCCTAAACCATCAACCTAATTTAGCTAAATAGTCAAATCACAAGACTTTCTATCACATTGCATCTTAATTGCCCTTCAAATTACAAGTATTAAATAGATCATTAAAGAGATTAGCTCTTACTGTGTGATTATATAGGATTTTCATCATTATGTGTTGTAAAAAGAAACCAAAAGAGCAGTAAGCAAATCATTCTTGATATAAACTAATGACTTGAAAAGTATCTAATGTTAAATAATTCAATGTTAAGAGTAGTCATAAAAACAGATTTTGTGTGTGACGGGGTATGCCTGCAGCCCAGATCTTATACTTGCTCAAGAAATTTTCACATGGAAAAAGAATTTTTTTAAAAAAAAGACCTTAAAGAGACCAAAAAGGCTTATGTTCTTATCCTACCCAGTGAGAAAGCTCTGTGTTTTTCAAAGACCTTTCAGTCTACCATTTCAGAAAGGTCTTGAAGAGCCCTCTAGGAAATTCTCTTTATTTAGATTTTTTTTTTTACCCCTAAAACAGAAATCTCCAATACATTGACACATCTGGGTCAGAATATTCTATACAAAAAAAGTAAAATTTCCTTACTACGATTTATGCCATAAATATTTTTTTTAAAAAAATGTATACTACTATACAAATTTCTTTGCAAATAGCTCAATAACTATTAAAGAGAATAAGTGATATCTATAACAGCATATTCTTTCAGAGTATCTGTTCATCACGTTTCCCTATTGATTGACATTAACTCTACAAACAGCATAGCGCTACTCATCCTTGTGTATATCTATGTGTATACACATCTTTTTTTTTTTTTTTTCTTGAGACAGAGTCTCACTCTGTCGTCCAGCTGGAGTGCAGTGGTGCCATCTTGGCTCACTGCAACCTCCGCCTCCCGGGTTCAAGTGATTCTCCTGCCTCAGCCTCCTGAGTAGCTGGGACTACAGGCATGTGCCACCACGCCCAGCTAATTTTTTTTTGTTTTGTTTTGTTTTTTTTCTAGAGACAGGGTTTCACCATGTTAGCCAGGATGGCCTCCATCTCCTGACCTCGTGATCTGCCTGCCTCGGCCTCCCAAAGTGCTGGGATTACAGGCATGAACCACCGTGCCTGGCCCGTGTATACATATCTTAAATTGTATTAGGTTGCCAGATTGTTTTCTACTATGGATTTTGAAGTGTAGCACAATTCTGTATCTAAGCTGGATCATAATCTAGGCTATCTACCTCTGAAATTAATGATAATTCTATAGTTATCAGGTTAGAATCTCATTTTATCCTTCAACCAGCTTTCTTGTTGACTCACAGTGTGCAAATAACTAGGACAGATAATAATGTTATAGCTTCTGATCTTTAGATGAGAGTAAAAGTAATTAAAACTCACTTTTCATTTCATTTTAACCTAAGTACAATATCCATGAGCCAAATCTTTAAACAATATAGCATTGTTACTTTTGCTTATTAGTTGGGAATCATGATCCATGACTGAATCACAACATACCTGGTGTGGTCACTGGAGTAGCTGTACATTTTATCTGAAAGATATTCAAAATAGACAAGTTAAAAGAAATGTTGACATACCTTTGTTAAATATTCTAAAGTGTGTTCTGAGGGGAGTTTAGCCTCAATGTCAATTAATATATTTGACCAAGGCTCTCAGGGCACCTCTGATTGAAGTAGGGTTAAAGGTCTCCTCTTGGGCCAATCAGATTTGCCTTTTACCAAATTACCAAGAAAGAAAGATTTATATGACTTGAAGAGAAACCAGAGCAACTTTCTTGGTAATTTGGGGTGGAAACAGTGCAGCTTGGAGACGATGTACAGCCTGGATGCATTGCGGTTTTATGCACAGAAACACTAAGCAGAGAGAGCTGGAACCTTCCTTCCTGCCTCCCTTGTGGCTCCAGTCCACTGCAGGGCATGACTGTACTTTCTGCCTTTGGGTTCCATGAAACACCTCTGCATTCTTATAAGTTTTTATCTTTGCCCATGTGGTTTGAATAGGCTTTTCTTTGTTACCAAAAACGAAAAAAATCAATAGGAGACTTTTCTTTTATCAATCTCTATCTATCTATCTATCTATCTATCTATCTATCTATCTATCTATCTATCATCTATCTATATCTATCATCTATCTATCTATCTATCTACTTTTAACATTTCTTGGCATGAGTAACAACATAAAAATGATATTAAGAAAGCTGCTGTGATCATGACTTCATTTCATCCACATTGTACAAAGGAGTGGGAAGGAGAAATGAGTGTGCTAGGAAGAAGAGACCTGGAAAAAGTTGGAACACAGGCTCTAAAATTAACCGAAACAGTAGAACAGCTTCTAAGAAAAGAAAAGTTATTTTTGGTCTGCCAGGACAAGACTTACCAGAGATGTGTTGTAGGACAACAAAACCACAGAAAAAAACTATGTGATGAATCTCAGTAAGCAACTCACTGTTAAACCTTGAATGAGGCAGTTCAAAGCCAAACAAAAGTATTTTTACTTCTAGGTCAAATATAAGAATTCAAAAGCTATTTAACAAATGTAGTTTTAAGAATTTTCTTTAATTGAAGGCAATAGATTCATGATGAATTATTGAAAAAAAGTAAGGGATAATCAGGGTACAGTCTTAACATCAATGTTATAGAAAATTCTGTATTATCCATTCATCAGTAAATTTTCTTTACTGTTGAACTAGATGCACACATACAGCACAATGTTTATTATATTTGAATGGCTTATTTTTCAACCTGGCATTAAATAAAAGCCAAAACCTTGCAAAAAAGTTATTAATGTAAAAATAAAGACCACTATTATCTAACTCTCTGACAATAATCACGAGAAAATAGTGACCAAATGATTATCTTTCAACTTGAACATGTGAAAACACTCTATATTAGTAAGGAACTAGCAATAACATTTTCAAATAATTCAGTAAGTCACCAAACAACTACAAAACTTATTTTAGTTAAATTTATGTGTAACAAAGTTGAGTTATTCTCCAGAGAGGTTATTAACTGTTAAAGACACATTAGTGGAACAATTTATGAAAGTAATCATACTGGAGGATGAAACGGACATGTCACATGTCAATGTGTTTGGAAGAATTCTGTGAAGGACTAAATGAGGGAAGATTTTGCGGAGCATATGCACTAAGCTGCTATGGGACCAAAAGTGATGAATGTATTCCATTTGGAATATGTCAGAAACATACTTCTAGTCCAGAGGAAATGTTCTACCATGAACTGCATGTAAAAGATGCAGTTATTTTCAACTACTTTCATACTAGTCTTGTGAATACAAGTGCACACAAATGTTGGGAGAAGCCTAGAGAGGCTAAAACATATTGCATAGTAGCCACAAGTTCAGCAAAATCAAAAAACCTGAGAAATGTAAATAATGTCAAGAAGCATATAAAGAAAACATAGTTAATATAGACCAGGAAATTGTAAACTGATAAATAAGACATGACATAAAGTATATGTTGATTTCCTTCTATGTGAAGAAAATGTTTACACTCAGGCCACTAATTATTTTGCAGATTTGCCTGGAATTAAAGTAGATGCATAAGAATTTAGTCAAATGGTAGCCTGATGTATAATGGAACAAATCCAGGGTTAAGAATCAGAAGATATGGATTTGGTACCAGTTTTGCAATGCATTTGCCCTGTGACAACACGCAAATTGCTTTAAAGCTCTGGTGCTCAATTTATCCATGAAGTAGGGACAATAATGCCTACATCACAGAGTACATGTCAGAGGTAAATGAAATATTTTCTGTAAAAACATTTTTTAATGACAAAGTTTGTTATTAATATTATACATACATTCTAAATACATATTATATAACAAGCCAGAAATTAATTGCACTCATTTGAGTCAGGAAGTTTCAATGAACGAGTTAGTTGAAAACACACTGGTATTATTAAGATGGTATGATATTTTGAAGTTAAAAGATATATAAGTAATGCTTGATTTGAAATGAAATTACTAAAATCTCACTCTTGACAAAAGGATAGTCACCAGCTGAGCATTAATTTGAAAGAAAAGGAAAAAAATCAGCAAAAACATTGAAAACAAAAGTGAAGAGTGTCATTGCTTAATAAGAATAAGAAAAAGTAGGTATGGAGTAAAAATAATTCCCCAAACAGGCTAATGTTTTTAAAAGATAATGTGGATTTTTCAGATGGAGGTGCTTGAAGTATGAACGCTGGTGCCTAGAAAGAATACTAGTGTAACACATAAAAACTAACTCTGGCCGGGCACGGTGGCTCATGCCTGTAATCCCAGCACTTTGGGAGGCCAAGGTGGGCAGATCACGAGGTCGGGAGATCGGGACTATCCTGGCCAAAATGGTGAAACCCCATCTCTACTAAAATACAAAAAATTAGCTGGGCATGGTGGCATGCGCCTGTAGTCCCAGCTACTCGGGAGGCTGAGGCAGGGGAATCGCTTGAATCCAGGAGGCAGAGGTTGTAGTGAGCTGAGATCGTGCCACTGCACTCCAGCCTGGGCGACAGAGCAAGACTTTCTCAAAAAATAAATAAATAAATAAATAAATAAATAAATAAATAAATACAAACAAACAACTAACTCTATTGAATGGGAATGTGCTGAATGTATTATCAATAGGGGAATAAAAGAAAAAAAAGACAAAAACTGTGTGGGAAAAAGGAAATAGAAGCAACTATATAAAGGATACAATATAATAATGTGATGTTTAGATGGAAGGAAAGGGACTAAACCAATTTGGGGGGAAAATAAAGAAAACAAGTAATGGTTAAAGGGAGCACCTGAAATGGGATGTAAGAAGTTCAAGGGCACCCCATTCCATGCTACTTTTAGGATGTAAATGTATAATCTGCAGCTGAGCCATCAGTACTTGGGTAATTTTGTTTTGCAGTCCTCCCTAGAAGAAGGTTATAATCTCTTTAAATGAGCCGTAGTGAGAAGTTCAGAGGTTACAGCTCAGAATAAAAGCCAGCAAGCTCAGGCTTCTGAAAAGTTTGCTCTGTCATGAAGGCTCAAAAGTTTATTTAAAAATAAGTGGCATGACTTAATTTAAAAGCTGCCTGGTGATTTCAATGACATTTAGCAAAATAAAAAAAGTGTATGCTTTGCTATAAAGCAATGAAATGTGCAAGACTGTGCGTGGGAAGAACTAGGTGAGCTCTCATAATCCTCTCCTGTGATTCAGATGCAAACACTTGTGGTCAGGTTTGTAGTTGAGAGGGTGTGATGCAAATATGTTTGCTTTTATGTTTTTCCTCTTAGAGTGTTAACCCTCCTATGTACAAGAATAGACAACGGCACATAGTTTAAACTCCATAATGAAATTTCTCTGATACATGTTAAATGTGAAGATGCCATAATTTCCTACTGATAGGACTTTGATGTATGACCAAACCATACGCTTGTTTATCCTTCTTTCCAAACCAGAGAGGAAGAGTTAAACAAAGAATAGTTTTTGGATTTAAAGAAGGAAAAAGTGAATGCACTCCTATCAGAAAAAGAAATAAATATAATCCTCCTAAAGAACAGATTTGAACAAAGAATCACATAAAAAATGAAGGATTTATTTTAGGGAGAATGAGAGAACTCCATTTCAAAGCTTCTACCTAGCTGCTACAGAAAACATCAAGGGGAGGCTTATCTGGTCTATCTGATTGAATGTGCAGATATTGTATTGTTGCTGAAATGGAGATTTTCTTTTGAACGCTATTTATTACACCAGCAAAACTTATTCACTGACTAACCAAGGTGGAGTCAGATCTTGCAAATTTCTCAGCCACAAAGAGTAACAAAAAGATGCAAACATAAAAAGTTATATGAGGCCAGATACAGGGGCATTTCATTCACAGCCCAAGTGGCAGAAAAGCCAGTTGATACAATAGAATCTCTTTTATTATAGTTTGTTTGTCCCAGAGAAATAAGGCAGGAAGTCTTCTTCAGGAAGATTGGAAGGAACTGAACTGTTTGCAGAGCAGTTCTGAAATATATTTGAAATCTCTGGGTTAGAAACAAAGATAGTTCTATTTGTTCATATGGGATGGAAAGAAAGGCAGAGCTATTACTAATACTTGGGAAAAGATGTTAGGAGAAGTTGGGGCAGAGAGAAAGGGTGGAGGTGGGATAAGAACAAAGGACATTCTTAGCGTTGATGAATACATCAATTGCACACCAATAAAATGCAAGTTCCAGTGTATGCTCCACCTAATGAGGGTACATTACTGCTCAAATAAAAGGTTTTGTGATAAGCTAATGTTTAGAATCAATTCCATAAAACTCTACAGAAAACTCTCTGAAATGGACCTGAATGTGACATACATGACCACAACATTTAGTGCTAAAGCTCAGGGTGTTGTACAGATGTGTTAAATAATATAGAGATGAGGAAAGTGAAGTTGGAGCTGGAGAGGACTTAGAGGGGCATAGGGATGGTGGGAGCAGCAAAGTAGCCAGAGAAACCAATGTTCACCAAAATAACAGATGTGAAAATTACATGGGATGACATATAGCCATAGTAGATCCTTAATAATTATTTGTGGAAAGAAGGAAGGAAACAACACGGCCACTAGGTATGGTGATGGGCTGCACCAGATCTAGGACTGACCTACTAAGTCCCCAGCACTATGCAAAGATGTGTGTGTGTGTGTGTGTGTGTGTGTGTGTGTAATTCTTACAAGAACCCTAGGGTCTAGATGGTATTTTCCACATCTTATAGATAAGGAAACTGAAACTCAGAGAAATTATGTTACTTGTACAAGATCTTCCAGCTAAATATTGAAGGCAGAGTTCTAATTTACATCAGGTCTACTTCAAAGGTATACTATTAAAAACAATTGAGAGAAGCAAAATTTATTTAAAAAATACATCAATAAATGCAATTTATTGTTCACTGTTTTCTTAAAAATGTTCTTTCCATTACACTACTTTTAGGTAATAGAGCTGCTTATGGCATGCTTGGGGCAGTAAGGGTTTGCACAATTGAAAAGGAAAAAATCTGTCCTGAAATAACAAAATGAAAACGTGGTTTTTTTTTGTTTTGTTTTGTTTTTGACAGAGTCTTGCTCTTTTACCCAGGCTGGAGTGCAGTGGCGCTATTTCAGCTCATGGCAACCTCTGCCTCCTGGGTTTAAGCGATTCTCCTGCCTCAGCCTCCCGAGTAGCTGGGATTACAGGCATGCGCCACTATGCCCAGCTAATTTTTGTAATTTTAGTAGAGATGGAGTTTCTCCATGTTGACCAGGCTGGTCTCGAACTCCTGACCTCAGGCAATCCACCCACCTCTGCCTCCCAAAGCACTGGGATTACAGGCACTGCTTTTTTAACTACCAAACACGATGCTTTTTAAAGTAAGGCTACTGTCTTTCTGCAGTGGTCAAATTACCATAGTAAGCAACTACACAAAGGAGTTTGCATGGAGGCAAAAAGGTATGCATGTGGGTAAATAAATCCCAATGCACAAACTACCAAAAATGAGAATTGTAAAACCTATTTACAATGAGTTGTAAAAGACTAGTACAGCTGAATACTTCTGGGGCAGAAGTACTACATTAGTGAAATTATACCAGTCCTGATCTTGATGATGTTGATAAAAAGCAGTTCTTAACATCCATAATTCATGCAATCATAGGACTGAAAAAATTGACTATTAAGGTTGAAAGTAAATAGGTCACATTTGCTAGATAAATTTTAAGTTAGACAATTGAGCTCAAGGTAAGCATGTCAATGTCTACCTGTTACCTGGCCCCTCAGCAATCTTAAAAGGATTATCAGTGGAATCAATGAAAGAGTGAGGTACTAATTCAGGTTACTGGTCTTGTCTTGGTTGTCACCTTAAATTATTTACTCTCTGTAGATCTCAATTCACATTTTTTTTGTAATTCTGGCTATATATTATCTGGATTTATAAGATATCTTAATAAAGAAGTTAAAATAGCCAATTCGATATATAAAGCAAAGTGCTACTCTGAGCTCATTTTTATCTATAAAGGAGGGAAACTGTAGAAGATGTTTGATGATGGGTCATTTATACATCTGACTTATATAGTTTATGTTTATTTGAAAATATATTGGATTTTTAAAAGATTACTGAAAGCATTGCTAATGAAAAAGATTGCTTGTCATAAATTTCACCTTAGCCATAGAATTGATATAATAGAGATCCAAAAAGAGTGTTGGGTTTCTGGCTGAGGACAACTGGTCAACAATGTCAAGGAAGGATGTACTGGTAGAAACCTTTTGGGACAGAGAATTAGAAAAACTGGACACTTATCATTGATTTTGCTATTGAATAGATGTGTGGCTTCAGCTAGACCACTCCATTTTCGAGTACCTCTCATCTTATTTTCAAACCTGCATGACAATAATCCCTTCTTCATATTTTATATTAGTATTATCGGTGCTTAAGATATTTCTAAGTGAAGCAAGGACATTTGCTGCAATCTGACCATTGTTCTAAATTAGCTCTATGACATTTTTCTTGGACACATGTGTCTAAGTTAATTTTGTTAACTTAGTTTTATTTCATTTCCTCTGTTAAAAGGAAATGCATTTATCTTTTCTTTTCTTTTATTACCACTTATATGTCCTGCCCTTAAGGGTTTCTTGGTATTTAAACACCTTCCAGGCTGGGCGTGGTTGCTCACACCTGTAATCTCAGTGTTTTGGGAGGCCAAGGCAGGAGGATGGCTTGAGAACAAGAGTACAGGATCAGCCTGGGCAACATAGTGAGACTCCCATCTCTACAAAAAATTTCTGAAAATTAGCTGGATGTGTTTGTGCATGCCTGTAATCCTAGCTACTTGAGAGGCTGAGGCAAGAGGATTGTTTGAGCACAGAAGTTTGAGGCTGCAGTGAGTTATAATCATGCCACTGCATTCCAGCCTGGGCGACAGAGCAAGATCCTGTCTCAAAAAAAAAAAAAAAAAAAGATACCTTCCAGCAATATTTGAACTTTCATTCTCCCATCCATCCATATGTATTCAACATGTAATGGATTCAACATGGATCCATGCATATTCAACATGAATTGGATGCCTACAGCATACAAAGGCTGTGCCAGCTGCTGGGCTTCAGGCCATTTCAGTTGTGGCATATGCAGATTGAAAGCCACATGGTTAAAACTTATGCCCAGCATGTTGAAAAAGCAAAGCTGACAGTGGCAGATACTCTTGACCTCTCCTAGACTCTGGGAGTGTTTGACAGCAAGCCCATGGTTCAATCTCTTCCTTTTCCAGTCGTCTTCTGACCCCGCTCTTTTGTGTTGCATGTGAGAATGCCTGACTGATCCTGAGAAGATTAAGTTGGCTTGAATGGAATCTTAAAGAGCTAGACTTCCCTTTGTTTATTATGTATCAGAGAGAACCTTGATGGCTGCCCCAGCATAGACTACAATTTCATAGGTTTTTCAACTGGAGGAGGAAAAACGTATTTACCAGGATAATCCCTTCCCACTCTACACCCTAAAGAAGAGTTCCTAAATTGGATAACTATTTCACATTTCTAATATGATTGCATTCTTAAATAAGAGAACCCTTTGGGCGAGAAAAATTAGCAAATAGATTTTCTATAGATAAAAATATCCTGTTGAATGACATTTCATAAAATTGTCTGCTTCCATAGGTTTTCCAGTGACTCCATAGTCTCCATTCAAGCAGGTACCATGTGAAATTTGTCAAAATGTCTTACCTTGTCGTTGCTTTTCCACATAGTGGGAAATATTGAAGATCAGTGATATAACCAAAGCCAAGCCCAACAATGCTAGAAGTCCCCAGAGGAAAAAGGGGCACCCAGAGATTCCTGGAAATTAAAATAAACATACACATAATATAACAGCTGCTTACCCATTTGTTTTGGTCTGGCTATTGCCACAGTTAAAGCTGTTGCATTTATTCATAATGAAGTACACAGTCTCTACCGGGAAACTAATTAATATTCATAACTTTTTTCAGTTTTCAAAGTGGGTGTTGGTGTTAAGTTGCTGAATTCAGCATGGGCAAAAGGATTCAAGTTTCTCACATTCTGAGTGTTTATGAAATAAACGACTTTTTTGTGTAGCTATTAAAAGGTGACAAGTGGTGACTGATAAAAAACTTTTGTTCAAAAATCAACAACATTCAAATTACCAAGAATTCTAGTTTGCTATACTTTTCACCTTTCTTTAATCCTCAGACTGTAATCATACACGCTTTCCTTATTTACAGAAAATGGCCTGTTCTCTTCCATTGATCTCAGTAGTATAGAATACGATGTGTTGGGATAAAACAATAATTCTGGAGCCCAGTTTTGTTAAGATTGGCCACAGGGAGCTTTTCTCATACTATGTAGAGCCCCATGAATGTAAAGTGGAAAGTTAATTACACTTCTCTTTCCCCTAGGCCTACACAGGGTCAGGATAATCAGTATTACCATCTTCCACCCCCACATCTTGTCCCAGTAGAAGGTCTTCAAGGGCAATGACACACATGGAGAGGTCATCTCCTGTAACAATGCCTCCTGGAATAACTCCTGAAGGACCTACCTGAGGCTATTTTACAGTTAACTTTTTTTATAAGTAGAAGAAGTATACTCTAAGGTAATGATAAAAGCATAGTATAGTAAATACATAAACCACTAATATAGTCATTTATTATCATTACCAAATATTCTGTACATAATTGTATTGCTCTACTTTTCTACAATGGGCAGCACAGTAGGTTTGTTTACACCAGCATCACCATAAACATATGAGTAATGCATTGCACTATGACATCCCAACAGTTATGAAGTCACTAAATGATAAAAGTTTTTCAGCCCCATTATAATCTTAAGGGACCACCATAATATATGTGGTCAATCATCGACCAAAACGTTGTGTGTGTGTGTGTGTGTGTGTGTGTGTGTTTTGAGATGGAGTCTTGCTCTTTCGCCCAGGCTGAAGTGCAGTGGCACGATCTCGGCTCACTACAACCTCCACCTCCCAGGTTCAGGCAATTCTGCTGTCTCAGCCTCCCAAGTAGCTGGGATTACAGGTGTGCACCACCACGCCTGGCTAATTTTTGAGTTTTTAGTAGAGACAGGGTTTCACCATGCTGGCCAGGCTGGTCTCAAACTCCTGACCTCAAGTGATCTGCCCACCTCGGCCTCCCAAAGTGCTGGGATTACAGGTGCGAGACACTGAGCCCAGCCAGACCAAAACATTGTTACATAGCACATGACTGTACATTGTACAGTGACAATTATATAATATAACATAATATAGTATAGAACAGCTTCCCTACAAACTCATTTTACAGTTAATTTATTATAGAGTTGACCAGGGAGTCGCATTGGTTAAAATTAAGCATTTAATGGATGCAGTAATCATTTACCTTTGGCCAAATTGGACTTGTAACCCTGCTTTAGAAATAGTCCAAGCTATAATTATTGCATCCAATTTCTATAGTATATACTTTGGGACCTTGATCATTCACTCATCAGATGCTGAAGGGATGAGAAGTTGATTTCAGAAAGATTATTTTGACCTTGCCTGTGTGAAACTACCTGGATCTACCCATGAATGGAAGTAAAATAGACTTTGATGACTTTCTATTCTGGACATGTCCCAGTTATGTTTTCAAAATTTCTTAAGGGAATGTCAAGACTGCTTCCATCTCGCCGACCATTAAAGCATACAATCTGCCCTAAAATGGCAACAGAGAGTTGAACTTCATGTTGTAGTCAGAAAATAAAATCTAAAATTCTCTGTTGTTCTTTCTTATTTGCTTCAATTTTCCACATTTGGGCCTTTGTTCTCAGGACAAAATAAAACATGTTTTAAGACAAAGAAGCCATATGAAACTCTTCATTGAATACATTAATTTCAAGGATACTATGAACTGGAAGACATTATTTAATACATCACATGGTGTCTCAAATATAAAGGCCTGGGGATTTCCTTAAGAACTGGTACATTTTTGCTATTATATCCCATGTGAATATTGTACTTAATCATCTGTCTGTCTTTGATACACAATCTAAGCAAATCTCAAGGGCTTTATGATACTCATTTTTGTGAACTAATCATATCCCTTTCTCCTTATTTTCCCTTCACCTTGACTTATTTGGTTATCTTTCATACTGTTACACTTATTTCTAATACCCCTTTTTCTGGAGGAGGGGTAAATAAATACATGGAAAATAATAATAAATCTCTAGCACTCATGAGCCTCGGGAACACTAATAAAAATCGATCTCCTTTCTACTTAGCATTTTTTTTCTTTCCACTTGCCACAGCATGTAGTGTTTAGTATATACTCAATACATAGTTATGGTTTGAGTAAATAAAATGTAGTACAATATAACCAATCATACTTCAAGGAAATAAACAGAAAGCCCTAATCTTATTTTTTAAATTACACTGAATCTAGCTATAAATCATCCAATCATTTGGACAAAATTATATTTCAAATAGAAGTTTTGCTTTCTCCTTTCCAATTAAAGAGAGAATTGAAATAGTTGTGTTAGTCCATTAATTGCTATAAGAAGACAATTTGACTCTCAGCTACAAAGAAACAACCTAATCAATATCACAAGCCTATATGCTACACTAAAAGTTTTTGGGAAAGTCCTAATAATTTTCATGAAATATGTCAGAAACACTAAGGCAAGAATTTGGGTCACACTGTACATTTCTTTAGGGTTGTGTTTTGTCGTTTACTGTTAGAGTAAATTTGCCCCACATAACCACTTGGAGGCCTTTTAAAACACAATCTAAGTTCTAATATTGGGGAGTAGTTTAGGTATGTGTGATGCAGTTTCACATGGTCTCTGGTTTCCTCTGCTTTTAGGGTCCGTAATTCCTGACACTTCTGTTTTCCAAGTTTTTAAAAATAATACATAAATTTTAAACAGGAAGATTTTTATTTGGAGGCTTTGTATTTTATGACATTCTTAATATCTTTCACAATTTTTTGCTTGCCAACAATAAATACCCCCATTTTGAAAAACAATGCACACACATGAGAAGGGTAGATATTAAGTAGATAATGATGGAAATTTTCAACTTGAATTCAGGTCTGTATAAACGTACACACACACACACACACACACACACACACACACACATACACACATACTTTATACCTCCCCTTACCCAGTAATTCTAAATATGCAGTATAAATATCTCCATATTCCTGTGGGTATCTACTTAGTACAGACAGTGCCTCTTAGAATACTGGATGCACAAAGTGCTTAAAATTTTTTACCCAACAAGTGTAACCTTTAGTATCAATATTCATTAATTGTAATTACTTTCATTTATATAGCTTTGATCAATTTAAAAAAACTCCCACACAATTTGAATTCAGCTATTTACACTGTTAAAAAGCCGAAGAACTCGAGAAATTATCAGAGAGGAATGGCAGCTAGGAAAATCATGATTTAAGTTTCTCTCCAGCTTCCAACTACCAGGGGCTAATAGTGGTGGGTTTAATTATAAAACCTCTGACTCCCTTAAAGCCAACAGTAATTGGCAGGCACTGTCTTTGAAATTCACAATTGCATGTGCTCTGGAAGGAAACCCAGCTAAGCAAATATAATGTCTTTCTGCTGGCAGATTTGATTTACACAGAAGCCTTTACTTAAACAATTAGCAATAGAAAAAGCAATAAATATAATGCCTTAATTGTTTTTACTTCAGGCTATCTTTAACTGAGACAAGTGTATGAGTTTATAGTATATTACAGCATATAGCTTCTCTTAATGGCTTTCCTTGGCTTGTAAACTCTGTCAGAGCAATGAACGTCTTTTTGCATTCCATGAATGTGTATATTTATTTTAGGCACCCAGAAATCTCAATAGCAGTATTATGATCCCCATGAGTCTACTTATAAAATGAGTTTTTCTTACCATGGTGGTGGTTGGTGCTAAATAAGGCACATTCTTGATGATTTTTTGAACGTGACACATGATCACTACACGCACAATCCCAACCACTACCCATCATCCCACAATAAAAGACATTTGAATCATGGATATTAGCACAGGAGGGGGCTCGCAAATCAGTTCCAGGCTTTCAAGTAAAATACCATGCTGTTTTTAATGCAAATCTGAAATCCACTGACCTTATGTGTCTATTATGAACAGGGGGTTATTTGAGAAGTAAATGGTGTGTGTTGGGGAGTGGGCTGTGATGGGGAAAGAGAAAATAGTAATATTAGCTTTGGATACCTATTTTCAAACTGTGGAAAAGGGAATGAGAGTAGTCACCAGTTGTGTGGCTGAATCTCACTAAGACAATTGTAAAACTGGATTTCATATCTTCATCTGTGTTACATTAAGGCTACCTCTTCCTAGCACATCATGATTCCCCTCAATCAATACTTTACTTAATTTAATTGAAGAAAGTATAAATATGAGAGTGAGGTGGAGGACAGAAGAGAGTAAATTATGATTCCTCCAATGCTAGACTCTTCATTGCTTCTACAATTAAACTTTACCTGAGATTGGTAAACCTCAGAAATTCTACTGAGATTAAAGTGCTGCTGTAGATGAACTTGTCTTTCTCTGTATTTAGTGACTTCATTTATATGTATACTTATTGTTTCTTATTTGAGAAGAACCTTAGTAAGATCCTCTGAAGATGGCATGGTTGTATGGCAACTTTCATCCAATAAAATACTTTATGATGTTTCTTTTAATATTTCAAGAAGGCCTATTAATTTTGTCATCTCTTCCCTTTAATTCAGGAATGCTGAGAAGATTAAGTGTAATCAAAAATGTCTGGGAAAGTGCCGAATAATGATTTCTCTTATTCACTAGCAACTTGGGGACATTTATTTCTTGGAACTATGATCTTTAATTGACAATCTTTCCTGGATTGACTTTCCTTAAAAACACTGCCCAATTCATAATATTACCTAAATTAAATGGAGAAACATTGTCTTTGACCCATCTGAGTTTAAAAGATAATTTACACGTTAGTCCCACCTAGTCTCTAAAAGAAAGGATTTCATTGTCCTCAAAAGGTGATGAGGCTCAAGAGAAGATAAAACTGAGTAAAGACAATGAGACTCCTTTTTTTTAAAAAAAATGAAGATGAGTAAACTAAATTGTGAATCATTATTTAAATTAATGATAGACCAAAGACTTGTTTTCACCATTTGATTCCATTAATACAGATTTTATGTAAATGCAGAAACACAGCAGGAATTATGATACCAGAACATTATGGATGATGCAGTGACTACAGGCATATAGGTAGGAAAAAAGAAAATACTTGGGTTTTTGTTTTCATACGTAGTTTTACTTAACTAGAAATAATTATTCTTTTGTGTGTGTTCAAATTTATTTTATTTTTTATTTTACCTATCTAAATATAAAAAATACTATCATCTGATTCTCTTCCTTCATGTGAAATTTTGTTTTGTTTTGACTTTTAATACCTGTGAGGTTTTTAAATACTTTGTCTTTGCATCTCTTCTGTGAAATTGTAAAAGTTCTCAACTGTTGATGTAGGAGCTCCTGTATTAAACCCAAAGGGGAAGTCTGAACTACAAAATGCGATGGAGGAAATGTTACCATATCTGTTCTAAATTTAGAATTAATTAGTCCTGAAAATAGAGGAATGTCATATTCACCGTCTTTGGTCTTCCCATGCTTTCTGAGTTCCCCATCATCATCAGCTCATGGAATTATACTTAGTAATGCTATGTTCATTTCTTGCAGGGCACTAGAAAAATTGGGACACTTGTTTTTGTTCTTTGCTAAAGTATGAACTGGGAAAGATAAGGAGAGGTATGAAAATTGTATGCCAGCTTATGGTCCCTGTGTGATTTATGTAATCAATTGGTTTTAAGATCCATCAAACAGAACAATGGAAGCCAATTCACAGAAATTATAATATATGCAATCTTTACTCCATAGCTGGCCTATACAAATTGGTATTAAAAGTACAAAGCATACTAATTAAGCAAAAGAGGTCATCAGACTATCACAAATGATAGCTATAAACAGTTTAAAAATCCATGCAAAAATGTTCAACCTCATTATAATCAAAGTAATGCATATTGAACAATGAGTTAGCATGTTGTGCTTATGAGATTAGTGACGATTTTTTAAAGGAGATCAGCCTGTGAAGGAGAAGCACTGCTAGAATGAGAGGGAATTGGCATCACTCTTGGAAAAGCAATTTGGCAATAATGAGACTTAAAATGCCATAATCTCTTAATAATTTCAGTTCTAGAAAGTTTTCTGAAAAAATAACCCTTACTACAGAAAAAGCTATAGAGTTGTTCATCTTTCTGTCATGTAAAAATATTTTTAAAAACTGTATACAACAGGGCTGGGCGCAGTGGCTCACGCCTGTAATCTCAGCACTTTGGGAGGCCAAGGCGGGCGGATCATGAGGTCAAGAGATCGAGACCATCCTGGCCAACATAATGAAACCCTGTCTCTATTAGAAATACAAAAATTAGCCAGGCGTGGTGGCACGCGCCTGTAGTCCCAGATACTCAGGAGGTTGAGGCAGGAGAATCGCTTGAACCTGGGAGGCAGAGGTTGCAGTGAGCCAAGATTGCGCCACTGCACTCCTGCCTGGCAACAAAGAGAGACTCTGTCTCAAAAAAAAACAAACAAAAAAAACTGTATACAACATAAATGTTCAGCAATAAACAAATGACTAAACTATAACTGAATAGATATCATTTTTGTGCATTCATTTAAAATGATTATGCAGAAGTTATATTAAAAGGGACATGGTTATGTTAGTGAAAAAAGCTGGATATATTATGTACATTATTATTTCAGTTATGAAAAGCAAACTATATAGAATGTATATAAATAAAATTTGAAAGGAAATAAAACATATTTTGTGTTTTTAAGGTGATGGAAAATACGTATGAATTTTTAATATATATATTTCACAGTTCTCCCACATTACATAATATGCATGTTTCCTTTTGCAACAAAAAGATGTTTATTTAATAAATTAAAAGTACATAAAATAATACAGGAGGAATGAACCATCAACATGGATTCATAACAGTGAGTCAATATGGATCCAACCCTTTCACAACAGCGAGTGAATATGGATCTAACCCTCATGATTAATCTCACAGCAATTGAATTTTCACTGGCCTTTTCAAAATTGTTGTCTCTCTGAATGTTGACAATTGCATTGCTTTCTAGAAAATACTATAGTGCCTAATCTCTGAGGAATTAGAATTACACTTATCCTGTTTAATAGCTAAACTAAACTAAAGAGGAATACACATAGTCAACAAAAGCTTCTTTAAAAATAACAAGTACTTCACATGGCATAATTATCAGTGAACACTTACTGAACAGCTGTAATTAGATTTACGTTCTAAAATGCTGTCCACATTTTTCTTTCAAAAGAAAAATGTCAACTTATACTCATTAACATGTTTCAAAATATATTTTAATTACACTAAAAGTTATCCAACATTTTTAAAATAACTACTTTCTAAATACTAAGGGTCTTCTCGTTAGGACTTAGAAATTAAGTGAATTTTTAGACACACAAATGGAACAAAAAGTTTAAAATGCCACTTACCTGACATGCTTCTTTTTTTCAGAGAAATCTTTATCTAGCCATAAGACAAATATATGGATTAAAAATCCTCCTACAAACTTTTTTCCTAGGTGATGTTGCTCTGTTATGTTAAAAGCAGCATGACAGTAAAACTTATCTTTATCTGTGCCTCGGATTCTTTTCTCTTCTGTTTCTTAAAATCTTTTGTGTGTACTTTGTTTCAGTTACAAACAGGAAATGTGGTGAAGGAGTTGTCTTGAGTTTTGATCTGAAAACAGTCGACTTAAATTGTGTAACGTGGGAAGAAAAATCCCACACACCTTTGTAATCTGACATTTGAATTTTTATCAATACCTGAGTCTAATTGAAAAATAAATAAATAAAGGTAGGAATTAAACCAGGAGGGATCTTCCTATCTCTGGAGAGAATCCAGTCATCTCTTCACAAGTAAATTCACATGGAAACAAAATAAGATACACTAAACTGATGAGTAAATAGTAAGCAACCCGTGGGTGTGCTCAGCTGTTGTATTTTCTTGAGCCATGATGGAGGACAGGGAGTTAATATTTTTTGAGCACTTAGTATGTATCAGTTGCCTTCTATACCTCATCTTAATGCGAGGCTAGATGCCTGCCTTATTTCCTGACAATCCTCACCTTATCAGTATGAGTTTCTCTGTCCAATCTAGAGCCACCTGACAACAAGCTCCTGTTCTCAACCACCATCCCAGAATCTTAATAGCAGCAGTTCTTACATGTTGGTGTACATAAGTATGCTATAAGATGCTAGTTTAAAATCCTGGGCCCGTCTAAATTAGACTATTTAGGGTGAAGCACTAGAATCTGCATTTTAACAAGCAGATTTTCTGAGTGCATTTTAAATTACATATATTGTATATGATAAGATATTTTAATATAGATGTTCTGGACAATGCTTTTGGAAACTCATATAAGGAATAGAATCTATATTATTCATTATTAAAATTTCATAACTAGAATTAAGCACACCGGCACATCGTAAGTCTCAATAATTGAGACTTACTCTCAGTGATTGAACAAACAAAACCATGGGTGTCTTGTGCTTTCTTTGTCTTCCATTATAGAAAATAACTCCCTAGTAAGCAAAATACAGTGCATCTTATCCTTTGGACAAAGCTGGCTAAACACTAACACATTTTTCCACTTCAATCACTCCCCCCCAAAATATTTTTTGGTGAATCGTTGACTCAGAGGCTGTAAAACTGAAAGAGACCTTGGAGATTCTCTGGTCTAAGCTTCTTTAAAAGGGATTTTTAAAGTATGTTCCATAGAACACTCGGCCTTTAAGAAACGCAGAAGACAAATGTTTCTTCAACAAATATCTTTGGAAAAAATATATAGCTTTATTTTTACCTCCGTAGATGCATATTAAAGGCTTAGGTAAGTCCTGCGAAAAGGAAACCCAAATAATATTTTTATCAGAGTTTTTCTAAACTTATTTGGCCAGAGGACTCTTTGTTCAGCCGCTAACCATTAGCAGAGTGACAGGTTTTATGAAGCAGGCCTGGATGCTGACAGAACAAGACTTCAGGGAACAGCAGCCTCAGGTTCATGTAGGGATCAGAGGACAACAAAGAATCAGAAGGTTTCATCTTAGAATTAGATGGAACGTAGGGAGGAAGACTGCTGAAAAGTTGAATCCCAGACATTCAGGAAGATTCGGGCACCTGATAAATCAGTTTGAGAGGAGAGGGCCTAGTTATGGCCTTGAGGAGTTGAGCTTTGGTCCTGAAAGAGGGTAACTGGTAAGAAAAGTAGAAGTCCTAGGCTCAAGAAAGGACTACAGAGGTTACCTAAGCAAGACCTTGGAATATGGGCAAAGTAGATGCCCACAACTCGAGCTTACAGAGGACATTGGAAAGAGAAAGGGTTTCAGGACTGGAAATTTTGGTGCTAGCATTCCTTTGTTAGAACAAAATTATCGCAGAGGATGGGGAAAGAAGGAAGGAAGATGCTTTCATCCCAGCTGATCCATAAAGTGCAATTCCAGAAAAAACGGTGTTTAATTATTATTGGCTGTGAATGGAGAGAAGGTCAACTCAGCAAGAATGACTCAGGCAAAAATGCAGGAACTCTGTGGTTTGCTCAGAAGTATCTCTCAGAGCAGCCCAACAGGAAGAGAGACCCAAAGCAAACCCACCTGTTGGGAGAGCAGCTGTCTAAGGGCTTCCCTGCCTCAAGGGTATGACTTTACCCATACAGCTGCAGGAAGCTGGGGAAGGCAAGAGCAGAAGAGACATTAGGAAGGATATGTCCTGCTTCAGAAAGAGCCTGAAGTACCTGTTGAGTGATTACCTTATGGCTTAAAAGGGTTAATGTACCTCCTATGCATGATTGACATCTCTAAATGGTAAAAACTTAGGCTAATAAATCTGAACCACTTCACAGTTTCTAATTATTACAATATTTTTGAAAAGTGATCTTCATTACAATGTTCCATTCCATAGATTTAAATAATCTACGGAGATGTAACAAGATTGTCCAAGGTCACACAGGAAGTCCGTGCCTGCACATTAGTTAGCTCCATAGATGTTTGAAATTTGCCAGGAAAAAAAAAATAGCTTTTCATTAAATATAGATGGCTGAGCACATGGAAACATTATCAGAATATAAAAAAGCATATGGATATTTATTTGTTATAAAATATATTAGAAAGTGCATTCAGAGATTTGAATGATGGCTTCATGAGCCATGTTTAAATCATAAATAAACATGAGGCCTCTGTAGTACTTTTTAATGAGATGGGTTATCAAAATGGAATTTCAAAGAAAGCTAGACTAAGCAGAAATGTCTCGACAAGCTTAAAGCAGTTAGAGATGTTGTAGGAAATTTTGGGGGGAGGTTTTGATGGGCACCTGCCAAGAAATAAAAATATTAAGGCCAACAAAATTGATGTTTTGTTGCCAAAAGAAAATGAAAAACATGTCAAAATGGCAGCTGCCATTCAGAGTTTCAGAAAAATGGGTCAGAGTGTAGAAAGAGGCCCAGTTTTTCAAACTTCTTTTTTGATGATCATCTATCATTTTTATAATTAATTTTCATCACTATAATGTATTTTCTTATATCTGCGTGTGTGTGTATATATGTATATATGTATACATATATAGATATATATATACACATATATATTCATATATATATATATATATATATATAGAGAGAGAGAGAGAGAGAGAGAGAGAGAGAGAGAGAGAGAGAGGGTTTCCAAGCTGTTGAATAGATATTGTATTTACAAATGTATTTAGCTATTGTTTAAATTACTTACAATAACATGCACTAGTGTTATAATTGGAATAAAAGCTGTGCCCTTATTTTAAAGGCTCTTTATAATATTTGTTTTATTGAAACACTACTTACTTCTCTGTAATTTTTATTTATTCTGGTGAATTGCTGTTTAGTCATACTGAAGCTAGTACAAAGTAAGCAAACAGCTTGATGAGAGAAAGGAGTGGAGGGGCCACCTGGGCTATCAATTATGCTATTTTCAACAGTGAAATTATTCAAAATTGATTATGAGGTTGCAATTGATTCTGATTAGGCTATATTAGTATTTATATTTTCATTGAGTTTAGACTATAAGGTCCTCCAGAAAGCATGACTATTCAGACAAAAAAGGTAAAAGCAAATTAAAAGCAATAGAACAATGCATAGACTTAGCATCAGATTTTTCTCTTTTTATTACAAGTATCATGCCTTACAGAACAAGAAGTCTTAAAAATTAAACACTAAAAATATCCTTTATTTTTAAAGCATTTTACAAGATTACTGTTATAAAGCATATGTTTTAGAAAACATGGGATCAGGCAACTTTTTCTTCCTGTTGAACTGGCTCTTACCTTCTGGCCTCCTCTGACATTTAGGGACTGGCTTACTTGAGGACACCATGATAATATCAACTGTAACAACTGAATGTCAATTTTTATCGTTGGAGATAGTTTTCTTAAGATTAAAAAAGAATGAGTCCTTACAACTCAAATGCCCTAGGACACAATTAGCATCCTCAGAATAGCTTACACAATGAGTTTAGCTCTAGTGAGTCCTCTACCAAATGAGATATGTGATAGATTAATTTTGATTAAAATAAGAGACTTGGTGCTAAACTATTTTTAGGAGAAGGGAAATTTTAGTTGAAGGACCCCAGGGAATAGGAGCATTGAGTGGAAGCAGGAACACTAAGAAGTGAGGCACCAGTCAGGGTTCTGGCCGGCAACAGACACTAACAGTCAAGGGGGTGGTAGAATGAGTTAAATGAAGAGAATACATGTACAACGGTGCAGGCAGGGCTAGCAGGAAGCACAAGGGAAAGTGAAGCACCTCTGGGTTAACAATAGAGGGAGCCAATGACCACCCCTGGGCTTGAAAGTCTTGAAGGAGTTATCAGTAACTGGAAACCAGTAAGTAGCTATGGAAGAGCTGCTGACAGGAGCTATGGTTTTCAGAAAAACAAAAACAAAAACAAAAGTGAAACAACAACAACAAAAACCAGCCATTGCCATGTTACAACCTGGCAAGAGAACTGTGAGAAAAAAAAAAATCTCAGTTTTGCCCTCCTCTGCCTTCCATTCTTCCACCCATTTTCCTCATTGGCCAAACCCAACAGTCAGAGGAAAAGGCAGCCTTGATGATGCAGTCCATAGAAGTTGTCCTTGCAAGGCTCAAAGGTGGGTAAAGAAGAAGAGAGAGTGGACTTGGAGTGATAAACATGTGAGTAAGATGTGCAGAGAATGAGCGTAAGTTTAGATAATTACCATCTGTTCTGCCTAACATGGAATTCAAAATGTTATAGGTACACTCATTTTCCAGAGCACAGAAGAGTAAATAAGAGCAACTTATTTTTATATATTGAACTAGATTCATCAGGACAATTTTACTGATCTTAGAAGAATACCTGAGATGTCTTAATTAACATTCAGTTGGTTCTGCATAGTAGAACAAAGCTAAGAATAAAATTTGTCCATAGATTGTACAAAAATTCTGGTAGAAGGGATATAATAATGAAAACTATATACAAAAATTTCCCAGTGTTTGAATTTTTAAAGTAAGAAGACTCAGAGACAGAGAGAATGAAAAAACAATAAGGTCAATATTGTAAATGGTTAGTATTTGATGAATCTAAATTAAAGGTTTATGAGAATATTTTGTACTATTCTTGCAATTGTTTTGAAAACTCTGAATTATGTCAAAATGAAAGTTTTTGAATATATGTAAATTACTTAGAACAGTGTCTGGTACCTGTGAAATGCTCAGTAAGTGCTAGATGCTAATGTTGTCCGTATTACCATGATAACAAAATCAGATAAAGGCATTACAAGACGAGATAGCTACAGACAAATTTTTCCTCATAAACACAGATAGCAAAAATTTTGAACAAAATTTTGGCAAGTCAAATCTACCAATGCAATAAAAGGATAATATATAGTGACTGAGTGAGGTTTATCCCAGGAATAAAAAGGTGGTCCAATATTAGAAAATCAATCAATGTAAGTTACAAGATTAGCAGACTAAAAATGAACAAACAAAAAACATGTAATCATCTTAATAGTAGGAAAATGATTTGGCAAAATCCCAGTATGTGTTCCTGACTAAATAAAAATTAAACTCTGAGAAAACTAGGAATAGAGACTTCCTCAATATAATTCAGAGTATTTACAAAAAAAACCCTACAACTCACATCATCTTTTTTTTGTCATGTATTACAATTTTTATTTGACATTGTTCTAGAATTTACAACCAATGCATAAGATATGAAACAGAAATGTTGTATACAATAGACAGAAAATAATTTTCAGAAAAAGATAATTTGCTTCGAAAGTGCAAATGATTTAATTAAAATTATTAAAAAATAATCAAAGGATCGATATATAAGATGGATTTCAAGAACTTCCTTTTATATTAGACATGACTAATGAGGAAATAGCATGGAAAATATTCCATCCACTAGATAAATAACTATTAATGGAAATATTGCAAGAGTGATGAAATGTCTAAGTGATTATTTTTAGTTGGTAATTGTTGATAAATTTCTTCTGTAGTTTTTATTATTTTATATTTTCTATATTGATCAAGTATAGCTTTTAGAATAAAAAGGCAATAAAACATTTAATCAAGCATTACTTTGTGTACACCTATACTCTTAGCTACTGGGGAGGCTGAGGTGGGAGGATGGCTAGTACCAAAGAGGTGGAGGCTGCAGTGAGCTATGATTGCAACACTGCACTCCAGCCTGGGTGACAGAGCAACACCCTCTCTCTAAAAAAAACAAACAAAATATTACCTTAGTAAGAAGTGACTTTGGGGACCTCCTCAGTTCACACTTGTAGTCTGCAAGCCATATTGTGAGAACCCCAGCTCTTAACTTCTTTTTTTATTTTATTATTTATTTATTTATTTATTTTTTAATTTTATTATTATTATACTTTAAGTTTTAGGGTACATGTGCACAACGTGCAGGTTTGTTACATATGTATACATGTGCCATGTTGGTGTGCTGTACCCATTAACTTGTCATTTAGCAATAGGTATATCTCCTAATGCTATCCCTCCCCGCTCCGCCCACCCCATGACAGGCCCTGGTGTGTGATGTTCCCCTTCCTGTGTCCATGTGTTCTCATTGTTCAATTCTCACCTATGAGTGAGAACATGCAGTGTTTGGTTTTTTGTCCTTGCGATAGTTTGCTGAGAATGATGGTTTCCAGTTTCATCCATGTCCCTACAAAGGACATGCACTCTTCATTTTTCTATGGCTGCATAGTATTCCATGGTGTATATGTGCCACATTTTCTTAATCCAGTCTATCGTTGTTGGACATTTAGGTTGATTCCAAGTCTTTGCTATTGTGAATAGTGCCGCTATAAACATACGTGTGCATGTATCTTTATAGCAGCATGATTTATAATCCTTTGGGTATATACCTAGTAATGGGATGGCTGGGTCAAATGGTATTTCTAGTTCTAGATCCCTAAGGAATCGCCACACTGACTTCCACAGTGGTTGAACTAGTTTACAGTCCCACCAACAGTGTAAAAGTGTTCCTATTTCTCCACATCCTCTCCAGCACCTGTTGTTTCCTGACTTTTTAACGATTGCCATTCTAACTGGTGCGAGATGGTATCTCATTGTGGTTTTGATTTGCATTTCTCTGATGGCCAGTGATGATGAGCATTTTTTCATGTGTTTTTTGGCTGCATAAATGTCTTCTTTTGAGAAGTGCCTGTTCATATCCTTCGCCCTTGTTTGTTTTTTTCTTGTAAATTTCTTTGAGTTCATTGTAGATTCTGGATATTACTCACATCATCTTTAATTGTGAAATACCAAATGTTTTCCCCCTAAAATAGGTACAAGGCAAGAATATTCACCCTCACCACTTTAATTCAGTATTGTACTGGAAGTTCTAGCCTAATCAATAAGTAAAGAAATTAAATGCATATGAATTAGAAATGAAGAAAAACCGGCTTACAGATGACATGATTCTAGGGAACCTAAAAAATACCTGCTAGAACTAATTGCCAGGTATAGCATAGTGTCAGGATACAATAATAATATACAAAAATACTGATTTTATTTGTAATACTGTCAACAAACAATCAGAAATTGAAATTAAATTAGAACAGAAATGAGATCAGTAAGTTTGGGGGATAGAGATTGACTACAAAAGAACACAAGGAAACTTTTGGGGGAAAATTTTAAAAGGTGAATTTTTACTGTCTCTAAAGTATACCTCAATAAATCTCACTTTTAAAATGCTAAGAAAAAAAAAATCAATGAGTCCGTTTCGGTAAACCAACTAACAAACAACTGAATAAATGAAAAGAGAAAATTATTTCTTAGAATGGAATGCCAACTAAAAATTGAAAAAGGAATGCTAGAGTTAGAAAATCTACCATTTTACAACTATCAAATTAGTAACTGATCCAGAAAAAGATTGTCATTAGATGCTAAAGTAATATGTGAATAATTAATAAGCAAAGAGATATTTATCTAGTATCAAAATGTCTTCCTACAAATTATTTATTAATTAAAAAATCCATTAACTTCATGCTAGAGAAATCTAACTGATGTAACCTTAACTAAGTATCAAAGTTAGTGTTACCAATAATGGGGCAAACCAAAATCACTCATCTCCTGATACAGTGCATTGGCGAGTATTTTTCTGGTATTCTTGTGAAAATTGCCAAACTTTAAGCAATCACGAAGTATCAGACATGTCCAAACTGAAAGGCATAATACAAAAATAACTGACTCACATCCCTCAAAAACATCAAGATCAAGAATGATTAAATGTTCCAGATTAAAGCGAACTAAGGAGACACAACAAGTAAAGGTAAAGCATAATCTTACATTGGATCCTGGGCTGTGGGGAAAAATAGCTATATAGAACATTATTGGGACACTTGCCCAACTTTTAATACAGACAAGTAGATAACAATGTTATATCAATGTTAAATTTTCTTATTTTGATAATAGTATAATGGTTATGAAATAAAAAGTATTTGATCTTAGGAAATATATACTAAGGATTGAGAGATTAAGGAGTACAATTTCTGAAATTTACAATCAACTTCAAAATACGTGCAAAGAAAGAAGGAGGAAGAGAGAGCAAATGATATATTCATCCCAAAGCAAAGGGGTGAAAATGCTAATGATTGGTGTATTTGGATAAAGGGTATATGCAACAACTTTGTGCTATCAATTTATGTGCTGTGGTTTAACTACAGTTCAAAAGAAAAGTTACAATGTTAAGCTATTAACTTACTTTATTTTTATTTATATTTTTTTGAGACAGGGTTTCATTATGTCGCCCAGTCTGTTCTCAAGCTCTTGTCTTCAAGTGATCATCCTGCCTCAGCCTCCCCAAGTGCAGGTATTACCGTTGTGAGCGACCACTCCCAGCCAACTGTTAATAATTAAAAGACAATTAAATCAGCAAATCTAGCACCCAACTCAATAAGTTATAGATCTATAAAATCTAAAGAAAATTAATATATTAATTGGTCAAGATAAAAGCAATAATAAATTAGAAAACAATAAAAAATTCCTACTAATAAATAGATCTAAAGACCTAATTTTTGAGACCTCAGCATTGAAATAGATAAATTATTGGCTACTCAAGTATAGTTACAATGGAGAAAGTACAGATATGCAATACAAGAAATGAGAATGGGAAAATAACGTAGAAAGGAAACTGACGGGATTATAAGTGTACATTGTTTAACTCCAGGCAAATATATTTGAAGACCTAGTTGATAGATAAGATTTCTTAGAAAAATATAAATAATCAAAACTGACCCCATAAGAAGACATGTAAACAGGAAAATTCTCATGAAATTGAGAAAATATTATAGTAAGGATCTACTCATTAAAATGTGACAACTCTTCACTATTGGGAATCTTTTTAGTGTTTCGATACTGAACATAATGCCAATTTGGCTCAAGGCAGAGGTTCAGTATAGATGTATATTTGGACAAACATTTAATTATAGAGACAACAGGTATGTAGAAAAGATATCACTATTATCATGTTAAAGAAATAATCTTCAAATATTCTACATTTTTAATCAAAATTATATTATACATATAATTTCATATATAAGTCAAATAGAAGGAGAATGATCTTCTGGTAATAGTGGCATGAATAGATTATAGAATTTCCTTTTGCAGAAAACAAGTATAAAACTGGGGGGAAATATCTTAAACAACTATCTGGAAATTGATCAAAGGCAAACAACAAATTGTAAAATGTTTATTCTTGGAATATTGCTGCAGTTTCAGGTAAGAATGCAGTAGTACAAGACCTTCTAGCCTGGGCGGCTCACATCCTCTCTCTCCTACTTTGTCCTTTATCCTACATTGCTTGGTAGGGTGGCATCCCTGATTTGGAGTCAGGCAAGAGTAACACGTGAAAACCCATATATTATTGGCTAAAAGTGGCAGTCTCCATTAGGAATGAATGGTCAAAGACCATAATTTTGCTAGTTCAAAGTTGCAGATCTGGTTTTGGAGGAAAGGCTCACCGGACACAAATTTAATGGTAAGAGACTTAGCAGGCCTTAGGTAAGCTATCCACACATCCCTGTCTATCTGCTAAACTATGCATGTTGTGGAAGAAACCCAAGAAGGCCCATGGAAGAAAGAAAGCCATGGCAGACATGAAAGCTGGCCACAACTTTGAATGTTTTATTTCAGTCCACACATAGCTCAGAAGACAATGGATGGGGAAGGCTTGGGGAAATGAGGTGTCTGCTGACCACTAAACTATACAGACACAGGGGTTGCCTCAATGAAGCAAGACTAAGAAATAAGTTTAAAAATTCTCAGTGGAAGCACTGTTGGCCTCACTTTGTAGGGAAAAGAAATTATGTAGTTTTAAGTTGAAGCAAGTTACTAAAACAAACACACACATATGCACACACACACACAAACCAGTGCACCTTTGAAAAATAAAATTGCAAAAGTGTAACAATCTATTATTTAAAATTTTAATTTTCACATATACATTACAAGATATGCAAAGAAATAGAAGAGTATGACCCATACTCAGGAAAAAAAAAAAAAGGAAAAAAACAGACCATAGAAACTGACTCTGAGGAGCCCAAATGTTGAATTTATCAGGCAAAGACTTCAAAGCAAATTTACAAATTTGTTGAAAGAATTAAACGAAATATATTCAAGGAATTGAAAGGAAATAACCAATCAATGAGTTAATTCATGGAAATTTCAGCATAAAAATAGAAACCACACATAAGCACCAAACTGAAATTTTAGAATTGAAACGTATAATAATTAAGATTTTAAAAATTCACTAGGTGAACTCAACAGCAGAATTCAGTTCACAGAAGACTCAGTAATTTAGAAGATAGATTAATAGAAACTGTGCAATCCAAAGCTCAAGGAAAAAAAGGATTGAAAAAAAAGGAATAGAATCCCAGAGATCTACCAGACAGTTTCAAGAATTCCAGCACACGTTTATTGGGGATTATAAAAGGAGGGGAGAGAAAGTGACAGAAAATCATTGGAAAATATAATGGCTGAAAACTTTCCATTTTGATGAAAAACATCTACATCCAGACCCAAGGAACTCAATGAACACCAACAAATACACTCACAGAGGGAAACATACCTAGACACAACAAAAATCGAGAGAATTCACTGCTAGCTGACTTTACCTACAGGGAACAACAAGGAAAGTTCTTTGGGCTGATAGAAAAGACACAGACAGTAACTCGGATCCATAGGAAGAAATGTAGATCACAAGAAATATTTGAGTAGATGAAAAGATTGTATGTGTGTACATATACCTTTTCTTATCCTTTCTTAATTTCTTTAAAATCAGAACATTGTTTAAAGTAATAATTGTAACACAGTTTGTTCAGTTTATTTGTGATGATTTTATGTGTATGACATTAATAACACAAAGGAATGGGGAAAGATAAAATGGAGCTTCACTGGTGCAAATTTGCTGTATTTTACTAGAGTTAAGTCAGTACTAATTTTAAATGAATTGTGAAAGTTAAAGATAAATACTACAATCTCTAGAGCAACTAATTTTTAAAAATCATTAAAAGAAAGACAGTCAAGTCAGGCATGGTGGCACACACCTGCAGCCCCAGCTACTCCAGAGGCTGAGCGGGGAGGATCCCTTGAATCCAGGAGTTCAAGGGTACAGCGAGCTGGGAACACACCACTGCACTCAAGGCTGGGTGACAGAAAGAGATCCTGTCTCAAAAAAATACAGCCAAAATATCAAGAGAGGAGTTAAAAATGATATTCAAAAATACCAAAGAAGACAGTAATGAAAGAATAGAGGAACAAAAAAGACATTAGATGTATAGAAAACAAATAGCAAAAGGGCAGATAATTTTAACTACAGTCATATGTCACTTAACGACAGGGATACATCTGAGAAATACGTCATTAGGCGATTTTGTTGTGCAAATATCATAGTGTACTTACACAAACCTCAATGATACAGCCTACTACACACCTAGGCTATGTTGTATATAGCCTATTGCTCCTAGGCTACAAACCTATATAGCATGTCACTGTACTGAATACTGTAGGCAAATGTAACACAATGGTATTTTGTGTATCTAAACATATCTAAACACGGTAGAGTTACATTAAAAACATGGTATTATTATCTTATAGGACTACTGTCATATATGCAGTCCGTCCTTGACCAGAATGTCATTATATGGAAAATGACTATATTTTAATGATATAGTTTGGCTCTGTGTCCCTACCTAAATCTCATCTCAGATTGTAATCCCCACATGTGGAGGGAAGGACCTGGTGGGAGATGATTGGATTATGGAGGGGGTTTCCCCTATTCTATTCTCATGATGGTGAGGGAATTCTCATGAGATCTAATGATTTAAAAGTGTACACTTCCTCTTCACTTGCTCTCCTGCTGCCTTGTGAAGAAGGTACCTGCTTCTCCTTTGCCTTCCACTATGATTGTTAAGTTTCCTGAGCCCTCTCCAGCCATGCCAAACTGTGAATCAATTAAACCTCTTTTGTTTACAAATTACTCTGTCTCATGTCGTATCTTTATAGCAGTGTGATAATGGACTGATACAATTAATGACACATTAAATGTGAATAGACTGGACACCCAATCAAAAGGCGTAGGTAGAATGGATTAAAAACCAAGATCTTCCTATTTGTCTGTAAAAGATGCACTTTAAATTCAAAGGAATGAATAGGGAAGGGTAAAAAATGAAGAAAGAGATGCATGCATACCATAACAATAACAGAGTTGAAATGGTTATATTAATATGAGATAAAATCGACTTGAAGATGAAGAATTTTACTAGACATTATCTTGTTAATAACATTTTCTAATGATAAAACGGTCAATACATCAGAAATATATAACAATTATAAATATATAGGCTCATAACAACAGAGCCCCCAAAACAAATAAAGTAAAATGTGACAGAATTTAAAAAGAAATAGAAACTATAGTTGGAGATTTAGCCATTCCTTTCACATTAACTGATGATAAAACTAGAGTGAAAACCAGTAAGGATATAGAAGACTTGAACAGCACTACTAACTTATAAGACCTAATTGACATTTAAAGAGTATTCTCTCTGGGCGCGGTGGCTCACATCTGTAATCCCAGCACTTTGGGAGGCTGAGGTGGGCAGATCATGAGGTCAGGAGATCGAGACCATCCTGGCCAACATGGTGAAACCCCGCATCTACTAAAAATACAAAAATTAGCAGGGCATGGTGGCATGTGCCTGTAGTCCTAGCTACTCAGGAGGCTGAGGCAGGGGAATCGCTTGAACCCAGGAGGTAGAGGTTGCAGTGAGCCGAGATTGAGCCACTGCACTCCAGCCTGCAGCCTAGTGACAGAGTGAGACTCCATCTCAAAAAAAATAAATAAATAAAAGAGTATTCCTCATAGGAACAGCAAAATACAAATTATTTTCAAGCACACATGAATCTTCAGCATAGACTGTATGAAAATCCATAAAGCAAGTCTCAAAAAATAAAAAGCATTGAAATAAGTCCTTTTTATAATAATAGAATTAAATTAGAAATCCACAATAGAAAGATAATTGGAAAATCTCCAAATATTTTGCAATTAAATGACAGACGTCTAAATAACAGATTAGTCAAGGAAGAAATCAAAAGAGAACTTGTAAAACACTTCAAAAGAAAATAAAAATACAACATATCAAAATTTATGGTATGCAGCTAAGCAATGTTTAGAGGTAAATTCATCGCATGAAATGCTTCTATAATAAAGGAAGAAAAGTCTCCATCATATCTTTCACCTTGAGAAGCAAGAAGGAAAAAGTAAAACACAAAGTAGACAGAAGAAAATTCAATAAAGATCAAAGCAAAAAACAATGAAATAGGAACAGAAACACAACAGAAAAAAATGGATGGAACCCAAAGCTGTTTTTTTGTAAAGATCCACAACATTAATAAACATTAAGTACAAACCAAATAAGAATTAAAAGAATTATAAGGAAATATTATGAACAACTTTCTTCCTACAAACTTAACACTTAGATGAAATAGATAAATTCCTAGAAAAACACAAATTACAAAAATGATTCAGAAGTAATAGAAAAATGGAATAGATCTATCAAAATAAGTAATTTAATTCGTAATTAAAAACAAGAGAAGAAAGGTTTCTGTGAAAAAGATTTTACTTTGTAAAATTCTATGTTATTTGAATCTTTTATTGAATACAATCGGTATGTAGTCCTGAATGATTTATGTGGTAACAAAAATGCCTATCTCTGCTATCTATAGTTATTAGAGATTCAGATTCAGGGAGGGGAGGGGTCAGGTTCCTGTAGGCCCATGATGATGCAAGTGGCCCAGTGATGAGGGTATGTCCTTGGTAAGGTGATTCTCTTCAGTTGAGGCAATACCTGAAGGGAGCTGATAGCTTGAGGCTAGTCTTCAAGAAACCCTCCCAGCAGCTGGGTAATCAGCACTTTATTCCTGAAGGGGGATCTGGGTGGTACATTACAGTGTTCATTACAATTTGAAAATAACGAATGAGGTACACTAAATTTGTCTTACAACAGAGCCTGTATAGCAGATGCTATTAGTTGCCTAGTCAAAATTCAACTTCTCCCTGTGGTCTCATTTGTTTGAAACAATGAATGTGCCCAACCCACATAGGGGAACATAGGCACCTAAACCAATTATGAGAAACCTAGTCACTGATTTTCTTTTCTTTCTTTTTATTTTTTTTGAGATGGAGTCTTACTCTGTTGCCAGTCTGGAGTGCAGTGGCGCGATCTTGGCTCACTGGAACCTCTGACTCCCTGGTTCAAGCGATTCTCCTGCCTCAGCCTCCCAAGTAGCTGGGATTACAGGTGCGTGCCACCACGACCAGCTAATTTTTGTATTTTTAGTAGAGATGGGGTTTCAACACGTTGGCCAGGATGGTCTCATTCTCCTGACCTCATGATCCGCCCGCCTCGGCCTCCCAAAGTGCTGGGATTACAGGCATGAGCCACCACGCTCTGCCTATTCACTGATTTTCTGAAGCCTCCCGCTGCCCTCCCATCCTTCACAGTTGTTAGATGTAGTAGATCATGTAGCCTGATTCCAGATAATAAGACCCAAGGAAGTGTTTGCTATAGGGATTATGAAAAATATTTTGTTTTATTCATTGTTTAAAATTTATTTGTTTATTTTTTTGAGATGAGTCTCTCTCTGTCGCCCAGGCTGGAGTGCAGTGGTGCGATCTCAGCTCACTGCAACGTCTGCCTCCCGGGTTAAAGCAATTCTCCTGCCTCAGCCTCCGGAGTAGCTGGGACTACAGGCGCCCGCCACCACGCCAGGCTAATTTTTTGTATTTTTAGTAGAGACGGGGTTTCACCATGTTAGCCAGGATGGTCTTGATCTCCTGACCTCATGATCCGCGCACCTCAGCCTCCCAAAGTGCTGGGATTACAGGAGTGAGCCACCGTGCCCGGCCTTGTTTTATTGTTAAAAGGTACAGATAAAGCTGACATCCCCTGACCTCTCCTAATACACCTTCCTCTTTCTTGAACACAGCTACAGTGCTTTTAGCTGCAGCAGCCTTCTTATAACCAAGAGGAGGAGGTCAGGAAAACTTCTGAGTGTGTTCTGACGTTGCTGAGCTGCTGAAAAGCCATAAATCTATCTCTGGGTTTCTTGCTTTTTAAAGAAAAATAATCCATAATTGTTTAAGTAGCTAAAATGGATTATTCTGTTACTTGCAGCAAAGCATAATCCAAACAGATCCTAGAATTATAAAATGGGATGGTAACTCTATTGAGGATTTTGTTAAAATATATAGTTGATATGTATGATGGGTGCATGTGTTTACCAAATTGTGGTGTATTTTTAATAAATTTGAAAACATCAAATACTATACCCTCCTTCTGGGGTTTCATGTTGCACATTAGCCTTAATGGTGTTAAAGATTAGCATTTAGATGTTCTGTCATAAACATGACTATTTCAAGTTTATGCTTCAGAAAAATATGCTTCTTAAATTTTATCTTAAATATATTTGACCAAAAATCACCTGTTAAAACTTTACCTACTAATACAGAATAGATTGGGAAACATTATTTCGCTTGTGTTCTAACTCACAGTCCACTAACTCATTCCCTATTTCTGTGATTGCTTTCTGAAGTAGTGTTCCTAGGAGTATCCGGTTTAAGTTGAATTAAGTCAAAACAGTAAAATATAGTTACTTTTTTTCTTATGCCTATGATTAGATTACTCCACCAAGCAAACTAGCTCTGACGTATTGACATGTTGAGTTGTGTTTTAGGATGTGGTCAAAGCCCAACAGAGAAATATGTGTAGCAGCACATTTGCAGCATCATTTGCTGGTCACAACTAACATCCTGTGTCTTTCTACACCAGTTATTTTTATCTGCCTGCAATCAGTCCCCTTTCACTGCTCTACCATTTTGCTTACTGACAGTGCAGAAACAGAGATAAGAGGTAGAGTATGCAGCTTCCTATGCGGAAGGAGTTCTTCTATTTTGACAAAGGAAGTGATAGTTGTGGCCACCTTAACAAAAGTCCTGAGTTGCATTTGATTGTGTAGCTTCACGGCCTGGTATCTCTATATATTATATCGTGATCTGCTGAGAGGGGCTTAAGTACACTCCCTCCCAGCCATTCTTGTGTGAATGACTGGATATGAGGCTTGCTTTGCTCTTTCACCTGCTTCTTTAAAAATGCTTTATTTTTATTTGTAGTGATTCAGGCATTCTGAAGAGTGACACAGGATGTCTTGTAGATCTTAATTTAATTAAGAAATTAAAACTCGCTGAAACCTAACTTTTTTTCTTCCTCCATCTTCCACATCTTGATAATAGCACTATCATCACCCAGAAATCTAGTTCCAGCCAGAAATCTGGAACTCATTCTTGCTACCTTGGCATACTCTCTCTGTTGCCCAGGCTGGAGTGCAATGGTGTAATCTTGGCTCACTGCAACCTCTGCCTCCTGGGTTCAAATGATTCTCGTGCCTTAGCCTCCCCAGTAGCTGGAATTGGTGTTGGACAGGTGCCCAACACCAAGTCCTGTTAATTTGTGTACTTTTAGTAGAGGTGAGGTTTTTACCCTGTTGTCCAGGCTGGTCTTGAACTCCTGACCTCAAGTGATCCGCCCGCCTTGGCCTCCCAAAGTGCTAGGATTACAGGCGTGAGCCAACATGCCTGGCCAGAAGACCTGGTAATTCATTCACACCATTCCTCTACTGCCTCCTCCAGGCCAAGCATTATCATCCCTAGCCTCCCTACCTCTTTCTACACTTACGGGTTTTATGACCCCTTCCCCACATAGCCTCCAGAATAATATTTTTAAAACTATTTTAGATCAAGCCACTCCCTTAATTAATGGGAGTTTTCAATGGCTTTACATTGCACTGAGATTAAAATTTCAACTCCTTCCCATCCCCTAAGACCCTGCAGAGTCTGGACCCTGCCCTGTTTTCCAATTTCAATATTTAACACTTTCTCTTCTGCTCTCTACTCTAGAGCAAATGTTAGCAAACTACATACAGCCCATGGGCCAAATCCACCCTATCATTTGTTTTTGCAGATGAAGTTTTATTGGAACATACCGACATTCATTCCTTTATGTATCATCTGTGCCTGTTATTATACTACAGTAACAGACTTGAATAGTTCCAACAGAGAACATATTGTCTGCAAAGCCTAAAATATTACCATCAAGGCCTTTAGAACAAGTTTGCCAACCCCGCCTTTAGAGCCTCATTGGCCTCCTTTTCTCTCCTTAAGATAAACTCTTTATTACCTATGGCCTTTGCACTTGCCGAAGCCTCTGCTTGGCGAGGGTTCTGTTCTTTATGAAGCTTCTTTCATCTTTTCCTCAATGACTCAGCTCAAACTCAGCTCAAGTATACAGAAAGGTTTCCCATTAGAACTCAAGTAAAGTAGGGCACTTTTTTCCCCAGGTACATGCCATTCCATCATATCCCACTTTTGACAGTATAGCACACATTAAAATAGAAATATCTTGCTTAAGTTTTTGTTTGTTGTCTACTTTGCCTGCATAAGACTCTATGTAAGCTCCAGGAAGCCAGGCCCCTGTCTATCTTCTTCAGCATTCCTTCTCCAATACCTGGAAAGTGGCTGTGCGTAGTAAGTACTCATCAAATATTTGTTGATTTAATGTAGTAACAATTGTAACCCACTTTCCTGAATGGCATTCAATCATTTAGCTTCATCTCCAGTATAAACTTCCATAGGAAATATAATGCTCTTTCTTCAAATCAGCCTAGAATGCATGAGAGGGTAACAACAAAGACTCTATTATTGCAGCTCCTAGAGGTAGTCAAGTTGCTAGTTGTATTCATTCATGCATGCATCTATTCATTCAACAAATATTTCTTGACTGCCGACTCTGGAAAGTATGGAGCAAGACAAGATTTACAAAAACTATCCATTTGTCAGAAGTGTGACTAGCATCTTAATATGACTAAGAGATTTCTTTTTTCCAATTTTTAACTAATGCATAGTAACTGTACATGTTTATGGAGTACACGTAATATTTTGATACATGCATACAATGTGTAATGATTGAATCAGGGTAATTGGGATATCCATCACCTTAAACATTTATTATTTCTTTGTGTTGTTAACATTTCAAATCTTCTAGTTATTTTGGAATACACAATAAATTATTGTTATAATCATCCTACTGTGCTATTGAATACTAAAATTTATTCCTTCCAACTGTATTTCTATACCTATTAACCAACCTCTCTTCATCTCTCACTTTTCCCTACCTGTCCCTGCCTCTGGTAATGCCATTCTACTCTCCACCTCTATAAAATCAATTTTTTTAGCTCCCACATATGAGTTAGAACATGTAATATATATCTTACTGTGCCTGGTATATTTCACTTAACATAATGACCTCCAATTCCATCCATGTTGCTATAAGTGACAGGACTTCATTCTTTTTTACGGCTGAATAATATTCCATTGTGTACATACACTACATTTTCTGTATCCATTCATCTGCTGATAGACACTTAGGTTGATTTCATATCTTGGCTACTGTGAATAGTGCTGCAATAAACATATGAGTGCAGATATCTCTTCAGTATACTAATTTCCTTTCTTTTGGATATATACCCAGTAGTGAGATTGATGGATCATAGAGCAGTTCAATTTTTAGTGTTTTGAGAATCTTCCATACTGTTTTCTATAGTGGCTATATTAACTTATATTCCCAACGGTATACTGGCATTCCACTTTCTCCACATTCTCACCAGAATGTGTTCTATTTTTGCCTTTTCGAGAATAGACATTCTAAATGGAATGAGATGATATTTCATTGTGATTTTGATTTGCATTTCCCTTGTGATTACTGATGCTGATCATTTTTTAATATACCTGTTGGCCATTTGTAAGTCTTCTTTTGAGAAATATCTATTCAGATCTTTTGCCCATTTTTAATCAAATTGTTTTGCTATTTATGTTTGAATTCCTTATATATTCTGGCTATTAATCCCTTGTCAAATGGATAGCTTACAACTATTTTCTCTCATTTCATAGGTTGTCTGTTCACTCTGTTGATTTTCCTTGTTATGCAGAACCTTTTAACTTGATGTTATCCTATTTGTCTATTTTTGCTTTGGTTGTCTGTGCTTTTGAGGTCTTAGCCAAAAAACCTTTGCCCAAATCAATGTCCTGAAGAATTTCCCCAGTTTTATTTTAGAAGTGTTATAGATTCAGCTCTTACATTTAAGTCTTTAATTCATTTTGAGTTGATTTTTTTTGTGTGGTGAAAGATGGCAGTTTAGTTTCATTCCTCTGCATATGAATATCCCTTTTTGCCAGCGCCATTTATTGACAAGACTGTCCTTTTTTGCCAGCGCCATTTATTGACAAGACTGTCCTTTCCCCACTGTATGTTCTTGGTGCCTTTGTCAAAAATGATATGGCTATAAATGTGTGGGTTTATTTCAAGGTTCTATATTCTGTTCCATTAGTCTATGTATCTGTTTTTATGCCAGTATCATGCTAATATACTATAGCTTTGTAGTATATTTCGAAGTTAGATAGTGTGATTCCTCCAGCTTTGTTCTTTTAGCTCAGAATTGCCTTGGGTATTCTGGGTCTTTTGTGGTTTCACATATATTTTAGAATTTTTTTTTCTATTTCTGCAAAGAATGTTATTGGTATTTTGATAAGGATTTTATCAATCTGTAGATTGCTTTGGTAGTATGGACATTTTAACAATGGTAAGTCTTCCAGTCCATGAGCATGGGATATTTTCCATTTTTTGTGTCCTCTTCAATTTCTTTGGAGTTTTATCATTTTTATTGTAGAGAGCCTTCACTCCTTTAGTTAAAATTACTCTTAAATGTTTTATATTTTTTGGAGCTATTGTAAATGGAATTGCTTTATTGATTTTTTTCAGACCGTTCACTGTCAGTGTATAGAAATGCTACTGATTTTTATATATTGATTTTGTATTCTGAAACTTTACTGAATTGATCAATTCTAACTCTTTCAGAGTTTGTAGCATTTTCTAAGTATAAGATCATGGCATCTGCAAACAAAAATAGTTTTTCTTCCTTTCCAATATGGGTGCCCTTCCTTTCTCTTATGTGATTGCTCTGACTAGGACTTTTAATATTAGGTTGACTCAAAGTGGTAAAAGCGGGCATCCTTGTCTTGTTCCAGCTCTTAGAGGAAAGCCTTTCAATTTTTTCTCATTCAGCACAATATTAGCTGTGCGTTCGACATATCTGGCCTTTATATTTTGAGCTCTGTTCCTTCTCTACCAGTTGGTTAAGGGTTTTTATCATAAAGGGATATTAAATATATTGAATGCTTCAGCATCTACTGAAATGATCATATGTTTTTTGTTCTTGCTTCTGTTAATGTGATGTATCATATTTATTGATATATGTATGTTGAACCATCCTTGCATCCCTGGGATGAATCCCATTTGATCATGGTGAAGATCTTTTTAATTTGCTGTTGAATTCAGTTTGCCAGTATTTTGTTGAGAATTCTTGCATCTGTTTTTGTCAGGGATATTGGCTTGTAGTTTTCTCTTTTTGTGTGTCTTTGTCTGGTCTTGGTATCAGGATAATGCTTGCCTCGTAGAATAAATTTGGAAGTAATCCCTCTCTTCGGTTTTTGGAATATTTTGAGTAGAATTGGTATTAGTTATTTTTTAAGTGTTTGGTGGAATTTAACACTGAAGCTGTCAGTGTCTGGGCTTTTCTTTGATGGAAGACTTTTCAGTGCTGTTTCAATCACGTTACTTGTTATTGGTCTGATACGTTTTGAATCTGTGTCCCCTCCCAAAATTAATGTTGAATTGTAATCTCTAATGTTGCAGGTAGGACCTGGTGGGAGGTGATTGGATCATGGAGGCGGTTTCTCACGAATGACTTAGCACCATCCAGCTTCTTGGTTCTGTCCGTTCACCTCAGCACTTGTGGGCCTAGAAAAATTCTCTGCGAATGGTGTTATGTTGGCTGGGGAAGAGAGTGACAGTCTGAAATGACCGTTTCTCTTACCAGTCACAACATCTTTCGATTCTGTGGGCCCAAGGGGTCCTCCACTTCTCTCCTGAGTTCTGGTGTACTCAGGGTAATATTGTCGTCTTTGAAATTTCTAGGTAAATTTTTATGGGGAGAGTGATGCTAATCTTTTATTCTGCCATCTTGCTGACATCACTCTGACTAAGAGATTTCAAAAGATAACGGGACTTCATTCTGAGATTTCCTCAGCCTACTACCTGCTTATCCGAAACCACTACCTCAAGGACTAAGCAAGAATGTTGCTATTAACCCCTGGACTAAAACAGTCAACACTGCTCTTACAAGGCCCAGTGGAAACTACTCTGTATAACAGCTAAGCATGTTTAGATAGATTTGACCGAAGTATTCTACAAGGAGGGATAAAGTAGCTGGTTCTTTTTCTAGTGATTGTGACTCTGGTCAGCTATGCAAGGAGGAGCAGTGTGGGACAGAAGATGCTTTGGAGCTTGGTGATGTTGGCCTTGGATATAGCTCTGCAATGGAAGGCTTTAGACAATACAATCACTGGGTATTTTGTGGAGTTAGACAACATATCATCTGAGAGCTAAGGGGAGGGTTTCATAAAATAGTGAAGAAATAGCAAAGACATGATTTTGTGTTAGTCTGTTTTGTGTTGCTATAAAGGAATACCTGAAGCTGGGTAATTTATAAAGAAAATGGGTTTATTTTGGCTCATGGTTCTGCAGGCTGTACAGGAAGAATAGTACTGGCATCTGCTCTGGGTGAGGGCCCCAGGAAGCTTCCAATCATGGCAAAAGGTGAAGGGAGAGCAGGCATCTCATGGCGAGAAAGGGAGCAAGAGAGAGGGGAGGAGGTGCCATTCTCTTTTGAACAACCAGCTCTCACAGTAACTCATTACTATGGGGAGGGCACCAAGCCATTCATAAGTTATCTGCCTTTATGACCCAAACACCTCCCACCAGACCCCACCTCCAACAGTGGGGATTACATTTCAACGTAAAATTTGGAGGGTACTAACATTCAAATTATTTCAATTTTCTTTTCTCTGAGTCAGGGGAGGGGGATGGAATCTCCCTCTGTAGCCCAGGCTGAAGTGCATGCCCTCGGCTCACTGCAATCTCTGCCTCCTAGGTTCAAGTGATTCTCCTGCCTCAGCCTCTGGAGTAGCTGGACTACAGGTGTGTGCCACCATGCCCAGCTAATTTTTGTATTTTTAGTAGAGACAGAGTTTCGTCATGATGGCCAGGCTGGTCTTGAACTGACCTCAGGTGATCCACCCACCTCAGCCTCCCAAAGTGCTGAGATTACAGGTGTAAGCCACCGTGTCTGGCATCAATTTTCTTATTTTGCATGTAAGACAATTTTTCTCTCACTAAAAGCCATTTAATCGATTCTCTTAAATCTGGGGCCATAGCTTGCAGGGTCTTAGCTATTTCTATTTGTAGCACTCGAACTGCCCAGTTCACATGATTTCACATGGTATTGTCTTAAATATTTGTTGAATTGAATAGCATATGCAACCTGAGAGAAGGTATTTTCCTGATGATTTTATCTACAGTGAATGCAACAAAACTGTTTGTATGATTTTACTAATCAGGTGTTACATGCTGCTAAACACACAGCAGGCTAATAGAATCAGTTTCTGAAATTTTTTATTCACTGTATGTATAGATCAATTTAGAATGCTAGTGTTTAGAGATGGACCTAAATGCTGTTGATGTTACAAGATAAAGCTGCTTGATAATTGCCATCTTATTTGGAAATGGCAAATGATAAGTTTCTGGATATTCTGCAAGCTGCAATCTCATTAACCTGCCCTTGAAGTGACACTATAAGCTGAAAAATGGATTTCCTGGGGGGAACCACCACTCTAGTTCTAACCCTTTTTCTCCTACCAGTGTGTCTTAACTGGCATCATTTCCAAGGAAGCCCTGCAGAGTTAGCACATTTTTAAGCATTTATATTTCTAGGAAAGAAAAGGAGAAAAAGGAAGGAACATATAAGTGTTATGTATACAGTTGGTATTTATATAGTTCTTGTTGAAGTATTTTGCATACATTGGTTCCAACGCTTTCAATTTAAATCTGTTTTCCCTATGGAGAGAATTAATTTTTTAAAAGGATCTTTTGCCTGTTTTCATTTTCATACTTCAGTGTCTTTCTTGCTAAATTAACCTAATAAGTATTTATACATATTGCTCCTATTTGCCATTGTCCCTCTTCTATCAGTGAAGACACTGTATTAGAAACGTTGAAACAAATTGCTAGCCATCGATGATTATACAAAAAGCTCAGTATTGCTCTGTTGTTAATAAAAGCAAAACTGGGGTGGAAGATTTCACAGCAGAGGGATATCCTTTTGCCCAGTAATCCAGGTTCTCATTTGATACCAAAAAGCTGTCACGATGAGACACTGAATACATTCCAGGCAAAAGCAAAGGCTAATAAATCACTTTGAGAATTATGGCTAAGGATAAATATTGGAATTTCACAGCTCTTTCAGGAGCTGCCATGTATTTGAACACTGAATTAGTTAATGTCCAAAAGAAAAATGTGAAACTAGTTTTAGCCAGGTAAGAAAATGCAGATAATTTTTTAAAATTTTAACAAAATATTTCTGTTAGCTCAGTTGACACTGAGCTATCATGTATTTGAGAAATCAGCAGTTTCTCCCTTATAAGTGAAATACACAGATTCACAGTAAACCCCACAAGGCAAAGATTCAACTTATTTACTGACTCAATTAGGGTCATAAATATCTGGATCTGTAAGAAAGTATAAATGTCATAGAAATTGTATTTAAAAGCCTTTAAACTGTATTATGTAAGCCTCTTAGAGCAGATTACTTCTTTTCTTCTTTTTCTTTTTTTCCTTTTCTTTTTTTTTTTTTTTTTTTTTTGAGATGGGTTTTTACTCTTGTTGCCAAGGCTGGAGTGGAATGGCACCATCTTGGCTCAGTTCAAGCAATTCCCCTGGCTCTGCCTCCCGAGTAACTGGGATTACAGGTGACTGCCACCATGGCTGGCTGATTTGTTTTTTTGTGTGTTTTTTTTTTGGTATTTTTAGTAGAGACGGGGTTTCACCATGTTGGCCAGGCTGGTCTCGAACTCCTGACCTCAGTTGATCCACCCACTTTGGCCTCCCAAAGTGCTGGGATTACAGGTGTGAGCCACTGCACCTGACCCCAGACGATTTCTTATGCATTTTTATGATTCTCCATAGTGTCAGAAAGAGTTCCATGATTGTCAGAGGTGCTCAATGTTTATTTAGGAACAGAATGGAGTTAATGCTATATGAAATTGGTAAACCCAGACAGTCCTAAATTATACCATTACTTATCCACATTTTACCATTAAATATTGTGAAATACTTCATTTTGTCATGTACTTTAAAAATTTTATCTCTCAATTTACTTCCACCGGTTTCCCCTGATGCCTTTTTCTATTCTGTGTTCACGTCCAGAATATCACATTGCATTTAGGAATCATGTCTCTTTGGGCTTCTCTTCGTTTTGATAGTTTCTCAGGTTTTCTTTGTTTTTGATAACCTTGGAGGTTTTGAAGAATAGTAGTCCAACATTTTGAAAAATGTGCTTCAATTAGAATTTTTCTGATTTTTTTTCTCGTGACTATACTGGGGTAGTGTGTTTTGGTGAAGACCACAGAGGTAGAGTCATTCTCATCACATCATACCAAAGGCCCATACCATCCATATAACTTATCAGTGTAGATATTATTCTGGATCACCTGGCTTGGGGTAAGTTTTGTCAATTTTCTGTATTAAAATTTATTCTTTTTATTTCTCTTTTCCCACACTGTACTATTTGAAAGAACGTTATTATGCACAGTCCATCCTTAAGAAGCAGAGAGTTATGATCTGTATTCTTAAGGGCAGAGTATTTACATAAATTATTTGAAATTCTTCACGAGATATTTTTCTATTCTGGCCCATGTATTTATTTAATCATTTTTTATCAGTGTGGACTAATAGATACTTATTTTATACTTTGCATTTTAATTGAATACTACCATATTTTGTTGCTAAAATTGTTTCAGCTTTGGCCATTTAAAGCTCTTTCAGTCAGCTCTTGGGTCTTTTTGACATACCACCATCATTCCATGTATGGTGTTTGTTTATTGGTTTTCTTTGAGAACTTTCTTATTTCCTGGTACTACAAGATGCTCCCAGTTCATCTTGTATATTTCCTACTCCAGTCCTAGAATTAGTTATGTTTTCTAGTAACCCTGGTTCCTTTTATTGGAGAATGGTATTAGAAATCAAGATCTGGGTGTCAAGTGTGCCCATTGCCACTGGACTGTTGTTGCTTCTAGGCTCTGACAACTGACAGAGCAAAGAAATATGTGTGTATACTAATCCATGTATATACTCACATCTGTAAATATTTCTATATGTGTCCATCTGTGTCCTATAGTAAGCTAAACATTAGTTCATACTCACTTCTCCAACTCTCTTCCATTATTATTGTATGGGTGATTCTATCTTCCTCCTCCCCTGTTTATCTATAAACTCCCACTCCCACATTGAGAAACCTGCCTTCTACCTTTTACCATCCATTACTTGATTTTGAATTCCAGCATACTTGTATAGTAGTTTCAGAATTGTTAGTCCATATCCTTGAGGGAAACAACATTATCAACCAGAGTATAGTTCTTATGTAGTGTTTTATCACACTTCACTTATTGCCAAAGTTACTTCAGTCAGCATCTTATTCTCTCATTCTGTTTAGTAAAATTGTTTCATACATTTGTAATACATTTAAATTCTTTTGTCACATTCTGTATTCTATATTGAGGTACTCAGATCTCATAAATAATTTTAAAAATTTGCATACATAAGGCTTATTCTTTGTGCTGTGAAATTCCAATGGTTTTGACATATATTTAATATCTTGTATTCACCATAAAGTATCATACAGAAGAGTTTTAGTGTGCTAAAAAAATCCTCTGCTTCAACTCCTCCCCAGTCTCCACTTCCAAACTCCCCAAAGCCACTGATATGTTTATCATCTCAATAGTCTTACTTTTCTAGATTGTCATATACTTAAAATCATACAGTATGAAACTTTTCCAGCCCAGCTTCTTTCATTTAGCAATATGCATTTAAGACACGCTCATGTTGCTGGGAGTGGTGGTACATGCCTGTAATCCCAGTACTTTGGGAGGCTGAAGCAGGAGGATTGCTTGAGGCCAGAAGTTTGAAACCAGCCTGAGCAACAGCGAGACTCCCGTCTGTACGAAAAAAATAAACAAACAAATAAAAATTAGCCAGGAACAGTGGTGTACACCTGTCATCCTAGCTACTTGGGTGGCTGAGATGGGAAGATCGCTTAAGCCCAGGAGTCCAGGGCTGCAGTTAGTTATGATCATACCAGTGCACTCCAGCCTGGCCAACAGAGTGAGACTCTACCTCTAAAAAAAAAAAAAAAAAAAAAAAAAACTTATTGGCTGGGCGCAGTGGCTCATGCCTGTAATCCCAGCACTTTAGAAGGCCGAGGTGGGCAGATCCCAACGTCAGGAGTTCAAGACCAGCCTGGCCAAGATGGTGAAACCCAGTCTCTACTAAAAATACCAAAAAATTAGCTGGGCATGGTGGCAGGTGCCTCTAATCCCAGCTACTTGGGAGGCTGAGGCAGAGAATTGCTTGAACCTGAGAGGCGGAGGTTGCAGTGAGCCAAGATCGCGCCATTGCACTCCAGCCTGAGCGACAGAGTGAGACTCCGTCTCAAAAAAAAGAAGATAATAAAACAAATTTTGAAAAGAGTTATTTATGTTATTTATGTCTTTTGTGGCTTGATAGGTCATTTCTTTTCATTACTAAATAATATCCTATTTTACGGGTGTACCACATTTTCTCTAGCCATTTATCCATTGAAGGATATCTTGATTGCTTCCAGTTTTTACCAATTATGAATAAAGCTGCCATAAACATTCATGTGCAAGTTTTGTGCACAGTATTTTCTAGTCAAATAGGTAAATACCTAGGAACATGATTGTTAGATCGTGTGATAAGAAATATTAGCTTTGTAAGAAACTACCAAGTCATCTTCCAAAGGAGCTTGTACCATTTTACACTCCTGCTAGCAGTAAATGAGAGTTCTTTCTGCTCTGTACCCTTGACAGCAAATGGTAATGTCAATATTTTGGATTTTAGCTATTCTAAAAAGTGTGTCTAATGAGTGTGTAGTGGTATCTAATTGTTATTTTAATTCACAATTCCCTAATGACAAATAATGTTGCATACTTTTACATATGTTAATTTTTTTCCATATATATTCTTTGATGAGAATTCTGTTCAGATCTTTTGCCCTTTTTTTAAAAAAAATTGGGATATTTGGCTCCTTGTTGTTGAGTTTAAATAGTTTTAAAAATATTTTGGATATAATTTCTTTATCAGATATTTGTTTTGCAAATGCATTTTCCTAGTCTTTCTTTTCTTAACAGTGCCTTAACAGGAGAATCTTTTGAACCCAGGAGATGGAGGTTGCAGTGAGCTGAGATCATGCCACTGCATTGCAGCCTGGGCAACAAGAGAGAAACTATCTCAAAAAAAAAAAAAAAAAAAAAAGAAAAAGAAAAAAAAAAAAGGCGTCCTGACCTGGCATTCGATAGATCAGTGAGGTGACTATAATTAACTTTAATGAATTGTAAAATTCAATATAGCTAAAAGAGTATAATGCAGATATTCCTAGTGTAAAGAAAAGATAAATATTTAAGGCAATGGATACCTCAATTATCCTGATTTGATTTTATGAATGTATCAAATTATTGCATGTACCATGAAAATATGTACATCTATCATTTATCAATAAAAAATAAAAATAAATCAATAAAAGGCAAAAAAATAAAAGTAGCATTCCCCAAAATTAAATACATAAATGCATAAATGTAAGTCTACCAAATATGTATGGGATCTATATAAGAAAAACTGCAAAAGTGCCAGAAAAAATAAAAAAACTGAATAAATGTAGAGCCAAGTCTATGTTCATAGATGGCAAGAGTTAGTATTATTAAGATACCAATCCTTTCCAAATTTATCTGTGAGTTCAATGCAATTCCAGTAAAAATGCCAGCAAGCCGTTTTGTAGATGTTACAAACTGATTCTAAAGTTTATATGGAAAGGCAAAAGACTTGGGAATATCCAACATGATACCGAAGAAGAAGAAAGTTAGAGTGTTTACATTACCCAATTGCAAGACAGTGTGGTATTGATGAAAAAATACACACATAGATCAATGAAACAGAATACAGAGGCCAGAAATAGATTCATATAAATATAGTCAGCTGGTCTTTTACAAAAGAACAAAGGAAATTCAATGGAAAAAGGATGATGTTTTTAGCAAATGCTGCTAGAACAATTAAACGTCTGTAGGAAAAATTGAACTTAGACATAGACCTTATACTTTTCACAAAATTTAATTCAGAATGGCCCCCAGGATGCCATTTTTCATAATATTACTTTTCAAGGCCGGGCGCCATTTTTAATAATATTACTTTTCAGGGCCGGGCATGGTGGCTCATGCCTGTAATCACAGCACTTTGGGAGGCCGAGGCAGGTGGATCATCTGAGGTCAGGAGTTCGAGACCAGCCTGGCCAACATGGTGAAACCCTGTCTCTACTAAAAATACAAAAATTAGCCAGGCGTGGTGGCAGGCACCTGCAATCCCAGCTACTCGGGAGGCTGAGGCTGAAGAATCGCTTGAACCCAGGAGGTAGAGGTTGCAGTGACCAGGGATCGTGCCATTGCACTCCAGCCTAGGTAACAAGAGCAAAGCTCCATCTCTAATAATAATAATAATAATATTACTTTTTTATATTCCAAATTCCAATTTTTATTGCTGTTTTGTATGTTTATAGGTGCATATAGGTATGTAATATACAAAAGCAATTGACTTTGTTTGCTGATATTAGATCTTTCTTCTTTTCTAATACAGATGCTCCTCAATTTGTGATGAGATTACATCCTGATAAACCCATCATAAGTTGAAAATATCAGAAGTAGAAAATCCACTTAATATATCTAACTTAGCAAACATCATAGCTTAGCCTAGTTGACCTTAAACATGCTCGGAATACTTACATTAGCCTACAGTTGGGGCAAAATCATCTAACACAAGTTAATTTTATAATAGTGTTGAATATCTTGTGTAATTTATTGAGTACTGCACTGAAAGTGAAAAACAGAATGGTTGTATGGGGGCTCAAAGTACAATTTCTACTGAATGCATATCACTTTTGCATCATCATAAAGTTGAAAAATTATAAGTTGTAACATCATAAGCCAGGAACCATCTGTATAAGTATTTAATGCTATAAATTTCCCTCTAAGCATTGCTTTTGCTGCATTCCACATATTTTGATAAGGTGAGTTTTCATTTTTATTTAGTTCAAGATAATTTTTAATTTCTTTTTATGCTTCTTTGACCCATGCATTATTTAGAAGTGTGTAGTTTCATTCACGAGTGTTTAGGAGATTGTATAGCTATATTTTTGTTATTGATTTTTAGTTTAACTCCTTTATTGACTGAGAACATATTAATATTTGCCATGATTGAAATTTGCTATGCTATGTTCTATCACTCGAAATATGTAAAAACATGTTTTATTTTTGTCAATACAAATTCCTTTTGGTGGATTTCTGGAGGTATTTTATGTGAACTTGAGAAGAATGTATATTCTGCTGATGTTAAATGAAGAATGCTATAAATGTTAGATCAAATTTACTCATAGTGCTCTCCATTTCTACTAAATTCTTACTGATTTTCTGTCCACTCGATTTATCAATTACTGACATTAGGATGTTGAAGACTCCAACTATAATAGTAGATTTGTCTACTTATCCTTTCAGTTCCATCAGTTTTTGCCTCACATATTTGAATGCCCTATTGTTAGATGCATACATGCTTAGGATTTTTTTTTATTTTTCTTAGAATATTGACTGTTTTATTATTATGTGGTGCCCATGTTATCCATGAATTTTTTTTTTTTTTTTTGAGACAGAGTCTCGCTCTGTCACCCAGGCTGGAGTGCAGTGGTGCTACCTTGGCTCACTGCAATGCTTTGTCTAAAACTAGTGTAGTTACTACAGCTTTCCTTTGGTTAGCATTAACATGCTGTATCTTTCTATCCTTTTCCTTTCAACCTATTAGTGTCTTTTTATTTAAAACATTTTCTTGTAAACAACACGTAGTTGGGTATTTTTAATCCACCTTGTAGCTGTAGGTAAAAGAACTTCAAGAATCTCTAATGTCCTCATTTTTTGTCTCCCATCTTCACTTTGGGCTTCCCTAGGTAATCCTCCTTAGAAAAAAATCTGTGTCTCATGGGTCTTTCAGCTATAATTTACTGCTATTTTACTGGAACCCTGTTGGTATGGAGGTAAAGTGTATTGTTGTGGGGAGTGAGCATACTCTAATCTTCCAATTAAATCTCAGCCTTTCAGTGGGCCTGTGTCTGACCTGTGACTTTCACAAATGATTCTTCTTGTGTAATTTTTCCTCCTCCTTTTAGATGAGGCAAGAAAACTAGATGGGGCTAGAGTGAGAGAAGTGCATTTCTTCTACAGCTCTGGAACAAGTCTCTGAAAAATCTTTCCCCATGAGAAGTAGACCTTTGTTATAGGGAAGGCTCTAGGCAGGCACTTTTCACAATACTTACTCTTCCCTTCCCTCTGCCAGAGCCATAAGGGGAATCTTTCTCAGATCTTCACGAGAACTCGCTGGGTTTCCTGGAGGGAAAAGTCATAAAAGTGTTTGTGGAGTACGCCCTAAAACTAAGGCTCCCAGGAAATATTCTCACACAAGTCCATGGGCAGCCTTCAGAAATCCATCAAAATTGCCATTTAAGTATTTCTATCTGTTTAAGGCTTCAGTAGCTTCTGTTCCAGGAAAGCAAATTTTGCTGTGGCTCTTTAGAGTTGCTTGCCTCTCTAGGTTTCAGGGTGGTGTTTTGCCCCCCAAATCAGTTTTCTGATGGGTCCAAGAAAAGGTGTTGATTTTCATTTTGTCCAACTTTTTGTTGTAAGGATGGAAATGATAACCGCCAGCTCTTTAAATGTCAGAACTGAAACCCGCATTTAACTTTCGTTGGTTGTCTTTTGCAGATGAGTTTTACACTTAAATCTCAAAAATATGCGTGCTTTTCTTCTTGACAATAATACATCAACTACCTCTGATTTAAAATTTTATCACTAGCAATAAAAAGGCCACAAAACCATTTTATATATCACGATGCATGTTTTGAATCTATGCTGCTTTCTTTATTTTGCTGAAAATGTCTGGTTTTATATCCATCAGCCAGACACAAATCTTAAATGTACAAATAAGCATAAATTACAACAAACAGTTCTTTTAAATGTATGTATGTATGGTTTCTTTATGTAGCATATTTTAACCATTTTATTCTGAAATACATATTCAAAAAATATACAAAACATACATGTACAATTTAGGATATAATTATAAAATCATGATTCATGTAACCACTCACATTAAGAAATACAATATTGCCAGTTAGAGGCCTCCAATATACTGCTAAAAAGTAATGGAAATAGTTGTTATTCTTGCTTTATTGAGAAAGTTTACCCATTAAATAAAGTGGCTATTTTAAGTACTAGAGGACATGGTTTTTATCACGTTAAGGAAGTAATCTCAATTCCTACTTTATTGAGTGTTTTCATCAGAAATGGATGTTAAGGTTTTTCTCAAAGATCTCTCTGCCTGTGTAGAGATACTAAAATAATTTTTCCATTAGACTATTAATATGGTTAATTAAATTCATAAATTCCTTTATATTGAATGATCCTTGTATTTGGGAAATAAATTCCTCTTAGTCATGATATGCCACTTATTAACATGCTGATAAATTCAGCTTGCTAATATTTTTCTAGTTTTGCATCAACATTTGAACGGTATTGACATATAGCTTTCATTTTTGTATGTTAACTTTTTTTTTTTGAGACAGGGTCTCACCCTGTTGCCTAGGCTTGAGTGCAGAGGTGTGATCATAACTCACTGCAGTCTTGATTACCCGGCTCAAGTGATCCTCCCACCTTAGCTTCCTGAGTAGCTGGGCAATCATGCCCAGGGTAGAGACAGGGTCTCACTATGTTGTCCAGGCTGGTCTCAAACTCCTGGGCTCAAGTGATCCTCCTGCCTTGACCTCCCAAAATGCTGGGATTATAGACATGAGCCATTGCACTCAGCCTATTCTTTATAAAGTATAAAATATAGCTATGAAAATTCTACTTGCTTTATAAAAAGAAGTGGGGAAGATTTTCACCTTTATTCTATGCCTAGCAAGAATTTCAACAGGATTGAGATTATCTGGTCTTTGAAAAGTTGGCACACTTTCCTCTGTGAAACTACCTGGCCCTGATGCATATTTGTAGGTTATTTTTTAAAATAACTTATCTAGTATTTTGTCTGAGAAAGTTGTTTTGTTCAAGCTTTCTCCTTTTAGAAGAATCAATTCTGGAGAATTGTATTATCCTAGGAGTGTATCCATCACATGTACGTTTTCAAATGTGTTTATGTAGAATTCTGCAAAGCAGTATTTTTTACTTTTTAAAATTTACTCTGTTTCAATGGTAAATCCCTCATATCATTTCTTTTATTTTTAAAATGAATCTGAGGGTATGAATGTTGTTTTGTTACATGGATATATTGCATAATGGTGAAGTTTGGGCTTTTAGTGTAGACATCACCTGAATAGTGTACATTGTATCCATTAAGTAATTTCTCGTCCCTCTCCCTCCCACCCTTCTGAGTCGCCAAAATCTATTATTCTATTCTCTATGTCAATGAGTGCACATAATTTACCTCCCACTTATTAGTAGGAACATGTGGTATTTGACTTTCTGAGTTATTTCACTTAAGACAGTGGCCTCTAGTTCTATCCCTATTGCAGCAAAACACTTTATTTCATTCTTTGTTATGGCCGTGTAGTATTTATGTGATATATATATATAGAGAGAGAGAGAGACACACACACACATATACATATACACACACACACACACACACACACAAACACACATATCACATATTCTTTATCCCAACATTCATTGCTGGACACATAGATTGATTCTGTATCTTTGCTATTGTGAATAGTGCTGAGATAAACATATAGGTGCAGTTATCATTTTTATGTAATAATTTCTTTTCATTTTGGTATGTACCCAGAAGAAGAATTGCTGGATCGAATGGTAGATCTGTTTTTAGTCCTTTGAGAAATCTTCATCCTGTTTTCCATAGAGGTTTTACTAATTTGCTTTCCCACCAACAGTGTATAAGTATTCCCTTTTCTCTACATTCTCTCAAGTATCAGTTGTTTCTTGACTTTTTAATAATAGCTGTTCTGGCTACTGTAAGATGGTATCTCATTGCAGTTTTAATTTCCATTTCTCTAATGATTAGTGGTATTGAGCACTTTTTCATATACTTGGTCATTTTATGTCTTCTTTTGCAAAATGTCTGTTCATGTCCTTTGCACACTTTTAATGGGGGTATCTCTCTCTCTCTCTCTCTTTCTCTCTCCCTCTCTCTATATATTTCAGTTGTTTGAGATCCTTGTGAATTCTGGAATTAGTCCTTTGTTGGTTGCATTGTTTGCAAATATTTTTCCCAATCTGCATGTTGTCTGTTCACTCTGTTGATTCTTTCTTTTGCTGAGCAGAAGCTATTTAGTTTAATTAATTCTGCTTGCCTATTTTTGTTTTTGTTGCATTTGCTTTAGGGATCTTAGTCATGAATTTTTGCCTAAGCCAGTCAGAAGAGTTTTTCTTGGGTTTTCTTCCAGTATTTTTATAGCTTCAGGTCTTAAACTTAAGTCTTTAATTCATCTTGAGTTAATTTTTGTATATGGTGAGAGATAGGGGTCCAGTTTCATTCGTCTACATATGGCAATTAAATTTTCCCAGGACCATTTATGGAATAGTGTATCCTTTCCCCATTGTATGATTTGTTGACTTTGTTAAGGATAAGTTAGCTGTAGGAATGTGGCTTTTTTTTCTTGGTTCTCTATTCCATTCCATTGTTCTATGTGTCTGTTTTTATACCAGTACCATGCTGTTTTGGTTACTATAACTTTGTAGTATAATTTGAAATCAGATAATATGATGCCTCCAGCTTTGTTCTTCTTGCTTAGGACTGCTGTGGCTATTTGAGCTCTTTTTAAGTTCCATATGAATTTTAGGTTTGTTGTTTCTAATTCTGTGAAAAATGGCATGGTATTTTGATAGGAATTACATTAAATCTATAGATTGCTTTGGTCAGTATAATCATAATATTTTAATAATATTTATTCTTAATCATAATATTATAATAATATTTATTCTTAATCATAATATTATAATAATATTTATTCTTCCAATCTATGAGCATGAAGTGGTCGTCCATTTGTGTCATTTACAATTTATTTCATCAGTATTTTGTAGTTTTCCTTATAGAGATCTTTTACCTCCTTGGTTAAATATATTTGAAATATATTTTTCTCTAGCTATTTTAAATGGGATTGACTTCTTGATTTGGGGCTCAGATTGATTACTATTAATGTATAGAAACACTACAAACTTTTGCATGTTAATTTTGTATTCTGAGACTTTACTGAATTCATTTATCAAATCTAGTAGTCTTTTGGAGGAATCTTAAGGGCTTTCTAGATATAAGATCATATTATCAACAGAGATGATTTGACTTTCTTATTTCCAATTTGGATGACTTTTATTTCTGTCTATTTCTGTCTCTTGCCTGATTGCTTGGGACAGGATTTCCAGTACCATGCTGAATGAGATTAATGAAAGTGGCCATCCTTGTCTTGTTTTAGATCTTAGCGAGAATGCTTTCAGCTTTTCCCCATTCAGCATGATGTTGGCTGTGGATTTGTTGTATACGGCTTTTATTATTTTGAGGTAGGTTCCTTCTATGCTTACTATATTTCGAGGGTTTTTGTCATAAAGGGATGCTGAATTGTATCAAATTTTTCTGCATCTATTGAGATGATAATATGGTTTTTGTTTTTAATTCTGCTTATGAGGTGAATCACATTTATTGATTTGTGTATAGTGAACCACCCTTACATCCCTGGAATAAATTCCACTTGATTGTGCTATTTTTTTTTTTTTGATATGCTGTTGGATTCAGTTTGCTAGTATTTTGTTAGGGATTTTTACATCTATCTTCATTGGGGATATTGGTCTGTAGTTTTCTTTTTTTCTTGTGTCCTCATTTGGCTTTTGTATGAGGGTGAAGCAGTCTCATAAAACAGTTTGAAAGTATTACCTCTACTTCTATTTTTCTGGAAGAATTTAAAAAATAAGTATCACCAATTATTATTTGAATATTTGATAGAATTCAGCCATGGATCTACCTGGCCCTGAGCTTTCCTTTGTTGGAAGGTTTTTTTTTATTACTACTTCAACTTTCTATTTATTCTTGTTCTGTTCAGGCTTTTCATTTCTTCTTGATTCTGTCTTGATAGGGTATATGGTTCCAGGAATGTATCCATTTCTTCTAGGTTATCTAATTTGTTTGCTTATAATTTTTAATAATAGTCCCTTATGATCTTTTTTATTTCTGACATATCAATTGTGATATCTCCTTTTTTATTTCTCATTTTATTTGAGTTGTCCATATTTTTTTCTTCATCTAGCTAAGAGTTTGTTGATTTTGTGTATTTTTTCCAAAAAAGCAATTCTTAGTTTTGTTGACTTTTTAAATAGTTTTTTTCTTCTTTATTTCATTTATTTCTGCCCTAATATGTATTTTTTCTTCTACAAACTTTTGGTTTAGTTTGCTCTTGTTTTTTTAATTCCTCGAGGTGTAAAATTAGGTTAAGAATGAAAACTACCACATGATCATCTCAATAGATGCAGAAAAATCACTTGAAAAAGTTCAGCATATATTTATAATAAAAAAACTCTCAACTGAATAGGTACAGAAAGAAATTTGGTCAACACAAGAAAGGCCATTTGTGAAAAGCCCACAGCTAACATTATAGTCAGTGAGGAAAAACTGAAAGCTTTTCCTCTGAGACCAGGCACAAGTCAAGGATTCCTGCTGAGTACACGGCAAGGATTCCTACTATCATTAGTTCTATTCTACATAGTTCTGAAAGTACTAGCAGGAGCAATCAAACAGGAAAAAGAAATACAAGGCATGCAAATCAGGAAAAAGTAAAATTTGGAAAAAGTAAAGTAGGAAAAAGTAAAAAGTAAAATTATCTCTGTTGGCAGATGACATGATCTTATATATAGAAAGCTCTAAAGACTCCACACACAAAACAACTATTAGAACTAATTAGCAAATTCAGTAAAGTTGCAGAATACAAAATACAACATACAAAAATTAGCTCCATTTCTTACACCAACATAGCTGAAAAGGAAATCAAGGAAACAATCCCATTTATAATAGCATCAGAAAAACATAAAATATTTAGGAATACATTTAAATGAGGTAAAAGGTCTTACACAAAAACTTGAAAATGAAATAAAACAGTAAATGAAATAAATTGAAGAAGACACAAATACGTAAAAGATGTCCTGTGTTCATGCTTCTCATTTTTGCCTATTCAGTGTGATGCTGGCTGTGGGCTTGTCACAGATGGCTCTTAATATTTTGAGGCATGTTCCTTTAGTGCCTAGTTTCTTGAGGGTTTTTAACATGAAGGGATGTTGGATTTTATCAAAAGCTTTTTCTGGGTCTATTGAGATGATCATATGATTTTTGTTTTTAATTGTGTTTATGTGGTGAATCACATTTATTGATGTTCTTATGTTGAACCAACCTTGCATCCCAGGAATGAAGCTTACTTGATCATGGTGAATTACCTTTTTGATGTGCAGCTGGATTTGGTTTGCTAGTGTTTTTTGGTGATTTTTGTGTCTGTGTTCATCAGAAATATTGGCCTGTAATTTTCTTTTTTCATGTGTCTTTGCCAGGCTTTGGTATCAGGGGAATGTTGCCTTCATAGAATGAGTTAGGGAAGGGTCCTTCCTCAGTTTTTCTGGAATGGTTTCAGTAGAGTTGGTATCAGCTCTTTGTACATCTGGTAGAATTTGGCTTTGAATGCATCTAGTCTGGGGCTTTTTTTGGTTGCTAGGTGTTTTTGTTTTCTACTGATTCAATTTTGGAATTCATTATTGGTCTGTTTTATGTTTCAGTGTCTTCCTGATGTAATCTTGGGAGGTTGTGAGTTTTCAGGAATTTATTCATGTTCTCTGGATTTTCTAGTTTGTATGCATAAAGGTATTCATAATGGCCTCTGAAGATCTTTTGTATTTCTGTGGGATCAGTTGTAGTATCACCTTTGTCATTTCTGATTGTGATTATTTAGATCTTCTCTCTTTTTCTTTGTTAATCTAGCTAGTAGTCTATTGAATGTGTTTATCCTTTCAAAGAACCAACTTTTGGTTTCATTGGTTGTTTGTATGGATTTTTGGGTCTCAATTTTGTCCAGTTCTGCTCTGATTTTAGTTATTTATTTTCTTCTCCTAGCTTTAGGGTTAGTTTATTCTTCCAGGTGTGATGTTACATTGCTAATTTGATATCTTTCTAACATTTTGAGGTAGGTGTTAAGTGCTATAAACTTTCCTCTGAGCACTGCTTTTGCCGTATTGGAGATTTTTGTTATGTTGTGTCTCTGTTTTTATTTATTTCAAAGAATTTTATTATGTTTGCCTTAATTTCATTATTTACCCAAAAGTCATTCAGGAGTGAATTGTTGAATTTCCATGGTTTAATTATATGGTTTGGAAGGTCTTCTTGGTATTGATTTCTATTTCAATTCCACTGTAGTCTGAGAGTATGGTTGGTATAATTTCAATTTTTTTGAATTTATTGAGACTTGCTTTATGGCCAAGCATGTGGTTCATTGTGGAATATGTTCCACGTCCAGGTAAGAAGAATATATTCTGTGGTTGATGGGTGGAGTATTCTGTAGATATCTATTAGGTCCTATTATTCAACTATTGAATTTAAGTTCAGAATTTGTCAATTTTCTGCCTTGATATCTGTCTAACATTGTCAGTGGGGGTAATGAAGTCCCCCATTATTACTGTGTGGCTATTTCTTTTTTCTTTTCTTTTTCATATTTTTGAGACAGAGTCTCGTTCTGTTCCCAGGCTGGAGTGCAGTGGCATGATCTCGGCTCACTGCAACCTCCGACTACCTGGTTCAAGTGATTCTCCTGCCTCAGCCTCCCCAGTAGCTGGGATTACAGGCACCTGCCACCTTGTCCAGCTAATTTTTGTATTTTTAGTAGAGACGGAGTTTCACCATGTTGGCCAGGATAGTTTCGATCTCCTGACTTCATGATCCACCCCCCTCAGCCTCCCAAAGTGCTGGGGTTACAGGCATGAGCCACTGCACCTGACCCTGTGTGGCTATTTCAAAGTTATAGTAATTAAAACAGTATGTTACTGGCATAAAAACAGACATGTAGACTAAATAGAACAAAATATAGAGCCCAGAAATAGACCCATGCATCAATGGTCAGTTGATCTTTGACAAGGGTGAAAAAATACACAATGGGGAAAGGACAGTCATTTCAACAAATAGTATTGCAAAAACTAGATATCCCCATGCAAAAGAATGAAATGGAACCATTATCTTACACTATGCATAAAAATCAACTCAAAATAGATTTAAACATAGGACCTGGCACTGTGAAACTCCTAGAAGAAAACATAGGTCAAAATCTTCATGACATTGGGCTTGACAATGATTTCTTGAATGTGCCACCAAAAGTACAAGCAACTAAATCAAAATTAGACAAGTGAAACTATGTCAAACTAAGAAGCTTCTGCACAGCAAAGGAAACAACCAACAGAATGAAGGGCAACCTACAGAATGGGAGAAAATATTTGCAAATCATATATCTGATAATTGACTAGTATCCAAAATATTATAAGAAACTCCTACAAATCAATAACCCATAATAACCTAATTAAAAATGGGCAAAGGACCCGAATAAGGTTGAATTATCTCTTCAAAGAGGACATATCGATGGCCAATAGATACCTATTGAAAAGGTAGTCAACATCACTAATCCTCAGGGAAATGCAAATCAAAACTACAGTGAGATATCACATCATGCCTGTTAGAATGGCTATTATCCAAAAATCAAAAAAATAAAAAGTGTTGGTAAGAATGTAAAATAGGGGGACCCTTGTACACTATTGGTGGTACAACACTAAGGAAAACAGTGTGCAGCCACAAAGGAAAACACAAAGGAAAATGTTCCTCAAAAAATGAAAAATATTATTGCCACAGGATCCAACTATCTCACTTCTGAGTATACATCCGAAGGAAATAAAAACAGGATTTCAAAGCGATATCTGCACCGTCACATTCATTGTAGCATTATTCATAATAGCCAACATGTGAAAATAATCTAAATGTCCATCAATGATGAATGGATAAATCAATTGTGGAATATGTGATGAAATCTTATTTGGCCTTAAAAAAGAAGGAAATCTTGCCATAGGTGACAAGATGGATGAATCTGGAGGACATTATGTTAAGTGAAATATCTTAGCCACAGAAGAACAAATACTGCATGATTCCACTTTCTTAAGGCATCTAAAATAGTCAAACTCATAGAAACAGAAAGTAGAAGGGTGGTTGCCAGGAGCTGGAGAAGGGAAAAACAAGGAGTTGCTTTTCAGCAGCTATAGAGTTTCAATTATACAAAATAAATGAATTTTAGACATCTGCTATCTAATATTTTACCTAAAGTTAAAAACGATACTGTATTGTGCTTAATAAAAATTCATTAAGAAGGCAGATCTCATGTTAAATGTTCTTACCCTAATAAAAACATAAAAAAGAATAGACTTCCTCTTCGATGGTCCATTGAGTGACCAATTAAATTATTAAATATAATATATTAAATATATTATTTTTAAGTATATTGAAGGTAATTAAAAAATTACCTTTTTTGCTGTCAAAATCAGACTATCTGGCTCCAGGATGGAAATGGTTTATAAATGACTGATTTTTAAATGTCACCTCAGGAGTGACTGGTTCATGCAATTATTGCTCAGGGCTTTCTCACACAGGAATCACGTTTTAGTTTCATTGCATTTCCCAGGAAGTAAATCCATGTTTTAAGATAAGAATATAAATCTCTTTTCTTCCTTTTAGATGGACTGCTTCTGCTTCACTGTTTGGGTTTGAGGGGAGACCTATCATTTACTTCATGGTCAGATTCCCTGGAGGCAACCTCAGAGACTGTGCCATGTCTGTCACAACCCTTAATGATTTCAGATTGTTCTGAATTTCTTTCATTATGTTTATTTTCATTGGCTTCAACCTAATGTTTCAAACTTCTCTTTTTAACCACCAATCTATGTCTAGGTTTAAAATAAAATGTGGCAGGAAGATGAATGGATTTTTAAAGGCAATGCTTTTTACTGTGACCCAAACTAATAAACAGACATTGATTTGAGAGGTGAAAATCTTACTTATAAAATAAATCATTGCTTATAAAAAATTTTAAAACTACGTTTTTTAAAGTCAAGGTATAGAATCACTAAAATCAAATATACCAGCTTACTCATTTTTTTCTTGGACAATTTCCAGCCATACAAACTAGCAATGCAACTACAAACTAGTTATGCAAACATTGCTAGTTAGGGTAAACTTTTTGTATTAACTTAAATTACTCTATGACATATTCCCCTCCACACCAATAACACAAGCGTAACAAATTTTTAAATTACTACTGCATATAATCTAGATTTTTTTTCTTTTGAGACAGGGTCTTGCTCTGTCACCCATGCTGGAGTGCCATAGTTCAATCATGGCTCACAGCAGCCTCTACCTCCTGGTCTCAAGTGATCCTCTCACCATAGCCTCTTGAGTATCTGGAACTACAGATATGCACCACCATGCCCAGCTAATTATTGTATTTTGTGTAGAGAGAAGGTTTTGCCAGGTGGCCCAGGCTGGTCTCGAACTCCTAAGTTCAAATCATCTGCCCACCTGGGCCTCCCAAAGTGCTGAGACTACAGGTGTGAGCCACCATGCCCAGCCTAGTCTGGACTTTTCTGAGAAAGGTTGGTTAACATGGAGGAGATCCTAGTCTGATTATTTTTCTTGTGCATGTATGTGATCAAACTGTTAAAGATCCCCCAATTACTCAAAAGTACCCGAGAATTCTACAGGGAAGTCACAATTATTTCATCGCTTGCATATAACATTTTGTGCTCCCCGTGGGAGTTTGTATCTCAGTTAAAGAAGAATAGAAAATGATAAAGCTGAACTCATCCCAAAAATGGGATTTGGGATTTGGTTGGGACCTGATTCTTAATCCCCTTCCCTTACCAACTTCTTTCATTTTGACTACACCAAAACACCAAATTCCTTATCATTTCATGAAGCACACCATGCTCTTTCATGCATTCTTGTACATGCTGTACTCTCTGCCTGCAAAGCCTGCTATGTGACCCCCTTCCTCCTTCAGCTGGTGAACATCTACTACCCACCTCTGACGTTACCTTTCTGAAAAGTTTTCACAGAAAATCCTAAGAAGAGTTTATCACAAGTAGGCCCTCCAAGAATATTTCTTAAATGAACCGATGAATTAAAATACATTCAGTTGCTTCTCGCTATCATGCTTCCCTTGTTTGTTTTTATTTTATATCTGTTTCTTGGTAAAATTCTTCACAAAAATTCCCATCTGTCACCACTATGATAAAATAAGATCGAGTTAACGGAGAGTGCCTATATCAGGAGGCAGAATTAGACATGGACCAACTTAAGCAGATAAATCTTCCCTCATAGTCACAGTGACAAGTTGCCTCTCAGAAACCCTTCCAAAACCAAGGTACTAAATGAGATTAGCAAGTCTTCAGAAGACACTCCCCACCCACATTTTGGCTTCAGGCTGCTCTTGTGAAAGGACAGGATATAAGCCCAACACCTGCACCACCAGGCCTCTCTGCTCCATTTCCTCAGGTGCAGCAGTGCGGCTGAGCTCAGCTGGTTCTCAGTTGCCACAACACAGCTCCTGGGAAGTGGGTGTGGGTGGGCACACTTCGAACCACATTGGCATGTGAGGCAGAGGCCGGCTGAGTAGCTTGTCTGGATGCTGTGTTTTAGTCAGGAAGAGGAAAACGCTTTGCTTTCTTGTTGGGCTGATATTTATCTTTTCTTTGACAATTCCAATCTTTAAATATCTTGAACCCATTACTTTCTACACTTGATGGCTTTTGATTTTTCTCTCTAATGCCATTTCCTTCTATGGGAAATAGCAGAGCCCTTCAGGTAATTTGGCCGTTTTGAGAAGGAATGAAATCATCTTAATATAGATGGGCCTTCTATTGGCTCAATGGTCTAGCTACTGAGCATACTCTAGTTTTTCCAAAATAGGCCTCACCTCCATTGATGAAAGAGAGAGACCCACACCCACCATGCAGTGTACTGAATATTGGGGATGCAAAGATGGGAATATGACTGTTGCCCTCATGATCTATGAGAAACCAGACTAGGAAATAACCAGAGACACTAGAAAGCACAATAAAATAAGTCCAGGATGCAGGGATATGTAGGATGCTGTGCTTAATCCTACTGGGGAGAAGGCATCCTTGAGAAACCAGCATTTGAAGACGGACTTAAAAATAAGTAAATAGAGACAGCAGGAAAGGGCTTTCTAGACCGAAGGAACAGCATGACTTAAAGCAGAGAGGTGCCAAATAGCAAGGCATCCAAATTCTATTTTTATGGCTGTTAAGTCAATTGAACTAACTGTTTTCAAAATGCCTTACATGACTATTATTATTTTATCACTTGAAATGTCAACCTTTGACGGGAGTGTTTCCTACACTGTGGGTTTTTTTTTTTCTATTTTTCCTTTTACTTCTATTCATTTCTTAATTTTATGGATTTTATGTTGTTAATCAGTATTTAAATATTCATCCCTGTTTTATCTTCTTGATAGATTACATATTTTATTAATATAAATTAGTTGTCTTTATCTGACTTAGTGTTTTTGGCTTAAAATTCCACTTTGCCTGATTTATTAAATTACTTTCATTAAATAAAGTAGTTGAGTCTATGATAATTGGACCTCAGTCAGCTGCCTGGACCTGGAGAAGAAATAAGGCAATGAGGAATGAGCCCAGTCTCATTATAATAATAATACAGTGTTGAGGGTAGAGCTCAATGAAGACTTAGTTTTGGTATCCAGGAACTAGCAAAACAGTAGAAGAGTGGAAATGTATAAAAGTTCATGCACCAGAGCCAATAGAGCTAACATGACATTTATTTCTTCTTGGAAAACACTTTGAAACCCTTCTTCTAGAATTTACTCTTTTACCTCTTTGAGAGTTAGGAAATGTGAGGCCCTGTAGGGTTGAGCCACTTCCTGGATGCCCAGTAAGCTACATGCTCCCCCAAAGAGAAAAAGATGTTCCTACAGTGAAAACCATTTCACATAGGACCAGAGGTAGGAAAATGGGGAGGAAAATAGCTGGTTACACTTCTCTTTGTCCATAAATAAATAAGCCTCTTTATCATTTTGATGAAATCATGTGGGTGAACTAGGAAGAGATGAAATAAACTGTGTCATTTATTAAACTAAGCCAGAAACAACTTATTTTTACTCAGAAAGACTCGCTGGGAGGGCAGTGTGATACAGACAGAGTGAGTTAGTGAAGGGTGGACCTCCCCGAAAAAGAACCACAGTCAGAGGGGCTCAGTAGGAGAGGCTAAGGACTTCACAAAAGTGCCCACAGAAAAAGGGACAGGATCAAACATCTACCAGGCCCAGGGCCTACACAATATTCTTAAGACAGTACTACAGGTAAACATTCTGGCCCCCTTCACCTTTCTCCCTATCCATTGTGCCACCCTCAGAGAGGTTGGTGGGACAACCACAGCAGAGGAGCAGATAAAGGACCGTCCCCAAGGAGTTGTGCTCGAAGAACCACGCCCAGACCAAAGAATCCTTAACCAATTGGGACTTGATCTCATGACAAGATCTGGATTTGGAGCTGATAAGACTTTGGAAGTAATTGTATTTTGCATGTAAGAGATGTGTGAAATGTGTGTCCAGACTGTAACAAATTGTATTTTCCAAAGATGGATGTAATAAGATCAGCCTTCACACATGCTCCTCTGCAATGTGTTCTTCCATTCCCCATCAGTTTCCCTCTGAATAGGATCTGAATTTAATGACTTACCTGATGAATAGAAGGTGGTGGAAGTGATATGATGCATTTGCAGGGCTAAGTGACAGGAACCTTTGCAGCTTCCACTTGGGTCTCTTAGTTGCTCTTGTGAAACTATTTTTGTAAATGCAGCCACCATGCTGAGGGAAGCCCAAGCTCATGAAAAAGGACATGTAGTACTCAAATTAATAGCCCCATCTAAGCCAGCCAAATGCCAACAATGTGAGGGATCCCTCTGGAGCACCCAGCTCAGTTGAGTTTTCAGATGCCAACACTTGACTACAACTGCATAAGCAACCCCTGGTGAGACCTTTCTAGCTGAACCCACCATACTGAACCATGAGAGGTAATCATAAATGGCTAGCATTCTTACATAACTATAATACTGAGTTTATGGCCCTGCTGATGATGAAACTGTCACAAACTTAATCTACTTTTCCTCTTCCTTTTCTGACGTTATAGTTGCCAAAAATAAAAATGTTTGTTCTTTTTCCATCCCCTCTCTTCCCACCTTCCTGTCTTAGAAACTTGAATTCTGCCATTCAGAGACTGTTTTCACTCTCTGTGGCTTCTATTTAACTTTAGATTCTTCCAAAATATCTCTGTGTTTCTAAGAACTCATTGAAGAATAATCTGTTTTGATCAGTTCTTTCATCATATAGATTTGCAAAACTCAAGAATGGAGTCCCAAAAACTCACTTACTTCTCAGCAGTACAAGTATAAAGGAAAGCAGTTTGGTAGAATCAAAGCACGTTTGTCCTCAAATGTCATGTCCCGAATATTAGGAATTTATGCAAGTACTACATGAGAGAAAACAAATTCTTGTATACATAGTTACTATTGAATCTCAGCATGATTTTTACAAAAAAGAAAAAAAGAGAGAGATGGAAGGGAGAATGGAGGATGGAGATTAAAATTTTTCATTAAACAAATGTTTCCAAGGGTATTTTCCATTCTGCATTAGACTTCTGGTCAATCCACAATCAAAAATGTTTGATAAGGATTCAGTTCATTCACATAATTTTTGGTGACATATTATAATAGAGAGCACACATGCCCAACTTGATGAGTAAATATGCTTTCCTGGAAAATGTCTTGATAAATTGAACATTTCCCTTACTTCTTCAAAAAATCATCTTGACAAAGTGTTCAGTCTCATTTAGTGAGTTATACGATGGATGCGTTGTTTATAGTTTCTCTAAATGTAGGAGGAGATTTAGACAACAGATGGAAAAATTGTAAAAGCCATCTGATTAAGGAACTATGACCAGAAACAAAGATGTAATGTCATTGGAAGTATTCTCATGAGGAAATATAGAAAAACTTTGTACCTTCAACTTTCCAGGAAGTATTCTATGAATAGAAATTGTCTAAGGTGAAGTACTGCTTTCTAACCAAGTTAATAATATCTATTATTTTTGATGGAATAATGACAAACATAAAATCTAATAAACTCTAAGTAAGATGTCTTTACATATACAATTAACTAACAAATCATTTGTTAACATAGAATACTACAGGAGTCGCCTCACTGTTCTTACCTTATTTGAAAATCTCTTCCTTATTTTTATAACAACAAGCAGAAGATGGGCAATTTTGAAAAGCTTCTTAAAAGAAATGTCCATTGTTATTTTGGTACAGCAGTAGCAATCACATGGTTTTTGGCCACTAAAGTTACCTGGTTGAATAGATTTCATGTGGACTTGGGTAAATCACTGCAGCTTTTGAGACTAAGTTTTTTCACTTGCAAAATGGGGATGAGGCGACATTTACTGTGAAAAATTAATTAAAGTACATAGCATATTCCAACTCTTGAACCCTGGATCCTTCTCCCCCCACTGGGTTGGGTGTCTCTGTACTTTTCCTCAGGACCCTGTAACCACCACCATAAAACTTACAGACATCCTCTAGTATTCTAATTGTCTGTACATGTTCCTCTTAGCTCACATGTTCCTTGAGGGTAGGGGCTGTATCTTATTCACCATTGTATTCCCAGGGCCTAGCCACATTACCTAAGCCAAATCAGGCTCTCAGTAAATGTTTGACAAATGAATGAATGAATGAGTCAGACGTTCAAGGTTGGCTCACTTCTCTGAATTTGTATATTATGAATTTGTATATTATGTATGGATAGTAAAGATTTTATAGAACATATCCATCCTCACAGGAAGTTCTGTTGGATAGTGCTGCTCTAGATGCAATGTTAAACAGTAGTCAAACATAGTTTTGAACAAAGAAAGTATTTTTACAGAAACATTGCAAGAATTCCATGCCCTATTGGTTTAAATGATAATTATTTTCTGGGAATGCTGCACACCCATGTGAATACATTGTGCAGTATGCAAATCCTACCTGTTTTCCATAACAAACAATAAATCTTCATTTTATGGTGAGTGGTAGAGCGGCTTCCTAGGTTTATAAAGGGTAATATGACCAAGATCATCTAGAAAGGGTTGAATTGTAGTGCAAATCTCCTGGTAAATGTATGTTGAAAGAGTTCCAGCTAATTTTCTAAAACTTGTACTTGGATGTAATTTTAAATCAAGGAGAGGATTGGCCTAAGTCTTTAAGGTTCTTTTTTCTTTTAGGTTTTTGTTTCAATAACAATCTGCAGGAGAATTGTGTGATGTTCAACTAAGTGAGAGATGCAAAGATGAAAGTACGCCAGTCAAAAAGAGATACCAAAATAGTTTTCTGGAAGAGGCAGACATTAAACTTCATATTCAGATGTCTTGTTAGGGTTGATTCCTTTTAAGCAATCAGAAGAAGGCTGCCCCACAGCTGAAAGGACGTGAGGAGATTTGAAACTAATCTGGACTCTTCTTCAGTTCCTGAGGACACAGATTGCAGAACAGAGCTCCCCTTACCATCTGTTTGTCAGTACCTGCATTTCTGCCCAAGTCCTTCCCGGGCTGAAATTTAGACTATATTATCTCTTCAGCACAAACAGTTCATTATCTTATTTTCCAAGCATTGAAATAGCAGAGAAAAGATGTTTATGTTAGCAAATAAGACATTCATTTAGTTTATTTTTCCATCCCAGGCATTGTTGCACTCCTTTTGAGATCCAAATTGTCTGTTATTTTTACTGTCCTGCTGCATTCAAAACAAACCTTTATATACTTTTATGAAAGTGTCTCATTAAACTTTTGTCACAATTCATTGTGAAAAAAGATTCTCCATTCAAATATACACTTTGAGTGACTTGCCTGGATGCCCTATCTGATAGACAGCAACTATCAGTTTTTAACAGAAGAACATTTCCTCCAGGTTTTCTCCAAAATTATGTTATGGGCTGAATTGTGCCCCCCAGTTTTTATCTGTAAAAGCCTTAACTCCCAGTACCTCAGAATGTGACTGTCTCTGGAGAAGGGGCCTTTTAAAAATGGGGTTATTAGGGTAGCCCTAATGCAATATGGCTTGTGTCCTTACAAGAAGATGAGGTTAGGGCACAAACACCACACAGAAGGAAAATTATGAGAAGGCAGAGGGAGAAAACAGCCATCTACAAGCCAAAGAGAAGGCTCTTAAAAGACATCCACCCTGCAGCACCTTGATCTGTCTTCTGGCCTTCAAAACTGTGAGGTGAATTTCTGTTATTTGAGCCACCCAGTGTCTGTGATACTTTGCCATGGCAGCCCTGGGAAACTAATACTAATGGGTAGAATAGAGGTGTCAATAAATGGAAGCATATGTCACTTCTGACTCAGAGTCAAGACCCAGAATGGAACTGACCTTGTGAACCCAAATACAAAGCGCAAACTCAAAACATGGAAGCAGTTGAGAAGGATCAATGCTTTATCAAATGACTTTATCAACATTTTCCCTTCTCCTGTAGATGTTCACTGTTTCTTTGTGACAATGAGAAATCTGTAAGTGTAGAAAAAACTTGCCTGAGAGAAGTAGAGATGCATAAAACTAAATAAGAAAAGTCTGGTTTTAACAAGGGGTCCTGAGGAATAAGACAAAAAGCTAATTTTTATGGCAGGATTAGTGCAGTACTAGAAAAACTGATGCGGTAATCTGCTTAATGGTTGTGATTTCCAACACTGAATAAGGAAGTTTGTTTTTTTACAAAACTAAAATAAGTAATATGGCTGGGCGTGGTGGCTCATGCCTGTAATCCCAGCACTTTGGGAGGCCGAGGCAGGTGGATCACCTGAGGTCAGGAGTTCAAGACCAGCCTGGTCAACATGGCGAAACCCCATCTCTGCTAAGAATACAAAAATTAGCCAAGCATAATGGTGGGTGCCTGTAATTCCAGCTACTCAGGAGGCTGAGGCACGAGAATCACTTGAACCCAGGAGACAGAGGTTCCAGTGAGCTAAGGTCATGCTGCTGCACTCCAGCCTTGGCAACAGAGTGAGACTGTGTCTCCAAAATAAATAAATAAATAATAAAAATAAAATAAGTAATATGCAAGCATCAGATAAAGAACTTAGAGCAAAATATCTGACTAGACTCTCCTGCTATTCATACCACATGAATGTAAAGACCAGGAACATTGCATTTTAGCAATAATTTTTGAAAAGAAAAAATGTGTATGAGGTTATTATTTGCTTCTGAGTTTGGGTGTGATTTATTAACTATCTCAGCCTTAGAGACATAATAGAATGAGATAACATTTTGAGGCTTCATCTTTCAAAGCAAACTAGCCACCTTGACAAAGAGATTTGTTTCTTTATCATCAAAATATGCCATGTTAACCCAAAAGCCTGTTAAACAATGCTTGGCTTATTGACATTTGATTTGGAAGAGGATAATAATACTGTAATATAATTTATTAATAGATGTAATAATGATTAACATTTCCTAAATGATATGCATGGGCTGTCATGATAATTGTGCACCCAGAGCCCATTTAATCCCCATCACTATCCTTGAACTTGAATTTGCCCATTTTAAGGATGAGGAAACTGAGATCCTGAGAAGATGAGTACCTCTTGTTCTATGGCTAGACAGTAGGAAATGACACCATCTTCTGAGACAGAATCAAAGGGGTTTTTTTTTGAGTTTCCTAAGGACAGTGCAGGGAATGCAGGCTGTTGTTGAGGAGCGTGCCGTAAGTTATCAACAAGAAGTGATTACAGAGCACCAGGAAGGCCAGCAGAAGCTACACAGCTTTAATGTTTTGTGGAAAAGTTTAACTTTATCCAAAAATCTAGAGCCAGAGAAAGGGGGAGAGGAAAGGAAAAGAGCTGAGAGGAGAGGAAAAAGTTCATTCATGAGGGGTTATAACAGGCTGGAAACTGGCAAGGCAGAAAAGGGGAGTTAGGACAGGGTGAAGGGGAAGAGAAAAGAAGTCAGGGAATGGAAAATCAGAAAAACGGTTTCCGTTTTCACACAAAGAGGAATTGTCTGTGAATTGTGAATTTGATATGCTGGATGTGAGAAGATTTGTAGGAGAGAAGAATGTGTAGAAATATCAGGTAAATAAAAAGCAGGAAAAGACAGATGTGAGAGACAATGGAATATACCCACTCTGCTTCAGAATCTCTCAGCTCTTTGTGAGTCTCTGAGTTGTTGCAAGTGATGAGAGACCTCAGAGCTATTGCAGGAAATCCTCAGGGTCAAGCTGTAGCCTGAGTAAATAAAATGCAAATATAGAAGTGTGCAGTGGGCTGGGCACAGTGGCTCACGCCTGTAATCCCAGAACTTTGGGAGGCTGAGGTGGGTGGATCACCTGAGGTTAGGAGTTCGAGACCAGCCTGGCCAACATGGTGAAACCCGTCTCTACTAAAAATACAAAATTTAGCCAGGCACAGTGGCGGGTGCCTGTGGTCCCAGCTACTATGGAGACTGAGGCAGGAGAATCGCTTGAACCCAGAAGGCAGAGGTTGCAGTGAGCCGAGACCATGCCACTGCACTCCAGCCTGGGTGACAGAGTGAGACCCTGTCTCAAAAAAAAAAAAAAAAAAGTATGGTGGCCTTGAGAATGCAAGACTGACTCCTACAAGGAGTGTCATATACCGAGGGCCCCAGTTACTGTTCTTTGAAACCCATCTGATACGGTTTGGCTCTGTGTCCCCACCCAAATCTTGTGTCGAATTGTAATCCCCACGTGTCAGAGGAGGGGCCTGATGGATAGTGACTGGATCATGAGGACAGATTTCCCCCTTGCTATTCTCATGATAGTGAGTGAGTTCTCATGAGATTTGATAGTTTAAAAATGTGTGGCACCTCCCTCTTTGCACGCTTTCTCTCTCCTGCTGCCATGTGAAGAAGGTGCTTGCGTCCCCCTTGCCTTCCACCATGATTGTAAGTTTCCTGAGGTTTTGCATTCATGCTTTCTGTTAAACCTGTGGAACTGTGAGTCGATTAAACCTATTTTCTTCACAAATTACCCAGTGTCAGGTAGTTCTTTACAGCAGTGTGAGAACGGACTAATACACCATCTGTGCATGGAGCTGAGCACAGTGGGGGTACTAGGGCAGGCTCATTCCTGGGAGATAGGCTTCCTTTGTGGACCTTTGTTTCAAGGATCCCTCAATGCCTACACTGCATGCTAGGATGCTGCCACCCAATCTCCCTCAACCCCTCACTACAGGTCAAACTTGAATTGGGATGTCATGGCTCTCCCAGGCTGCCCCACCCTCTCCCTATTTCCTTTCCTTGGGGGCTATTGCCCCTAATAAAATCCTTGTGTTTAATCCCATCTTGGTAGCTGCAACTCCAAGGACCCAAACTACCACAAAGTATTTTAATATTTTTAAAGGTATATGAATGCTGATACAATAAACACAAACATGTAAAAGTGTTACTGAATTCATAAGCAGTTTGTTGTTACATATTTATATTTATATCTCAAGGGCCTGCACTCCTTTCAATTCTCCTGCTATCACTCTCCTCCAGACTTCCATCATCTTTCACAAAGATTACTGATCACTCCTCAGGGTCTCCCTTAATGTATTCTTGCTCCCTTCCAATCCATTCTCCACATGGTAGCCAGGTAATGCCTTCTAAATGCAAATTTTTAACACAAAAAAAATTCTACTAACTCATACCAAATGAGCAAGACCTGATAGTGTGAAAATATTAAGCAATTTAATTCCTTCTTCCATGGACCTTTGAACCTACATTTTTGGACTTACTCTTTTCTCCATTCCTGGATGAACTCTCAGGCATGTCGTATTGATTTTCTGAGTACTCTAGAAATAATCACATAGGCCCTTTTGTTTGGCATGTAAAAATCTGGTTCTGTCCAATAGTTTCTTAGGTAGTCGAGTTCCATCTAAGCGGAATGCGTCTCTCCCACCCCAGCTTGTACTGTTTCCATTCAGAAGCCTCACTGTGGGAGGGCATGCTTCTTTCCCTGGGCCTCTGCACATCCCCATACCAGGGGCCGAGGTCTGAATGTTTGTGCCCCCCCACAAAACTCTTATGTTGAAACCTAAGGCCCAAGGTGATGTTGTGAAGCAGGGGGGCCTTTGAAAGGTGACTGGGTTATGAGGCCAGCCTTCATGAATGGCATTAGTGCCCTTATAAAAGAGGCTTGAGGAAGCCTGTTTCCCCTTCTGCCACATAAGGACACATAGAAGGTGCTATCTATGAGACACAGGTCCTCACCAGACACTGAATATGCCAGTGCTTTGGTCTTGAACTTCCCAGCCTTCAGAACTGTGAGTTTCATTTATGAACTACACAGTCTAAGGTATTTTCTTATAGCAGACTGGATGGAGTAAGACGCCGGACTAAGTGCTGCTCATCTTTACATCATGAAGATGTCACTTTCCACAGGGAAGACCCCCTTCTACTTCTTCATCCTAACCCTTACCCAATGGTAATCATGTAATAATTTTGTGAATCATTGTTTAATATTTAGTGTTTTTCTCTCTCATTATACTATAATCTCCACGAGGGCAGAGAATATATTTGTTTTGTTGGTATCCTAATGCCTGGCCCCATAATGGTCACTCAATAAATATTTGATACGATACATGAATAGGAAAAATGTTTTCTTAATGGATACTAAAAAGTATGACAACTATCACAAAAGCTGATGTTAAAAAGGGAAGCTTTTGTTTAAAAAACTGTTAGAAAAACCTGTTTTAGTTTCTTAAAATAGTGACACTAAAACCAAATGTGAGCCTTCAAATGTTATTTCTCCCCCAAGAACAAGCCTAAGCATGTTATTTGAAGGAAGGATTTAGTAAGAAAAAAATTCATAACATGAATAGAGGCAACATCCAAAATGTCAGGTGGAATTCTCTGTTTCTCAAGTACCAATATTTGGTTTAAATAATAGTTTCTCAGGAAGAAAACACAGAGGAAAGGATAGTGTGTGTTCCTTGTACTCTATTTAGGAAAATGAAAATGAAATGGCATATAAGTACCAAAAAATGCAAACCTAGAATGAGCATTTTCCTCTGGAATGAGTTAAGTGGTTGAAGAGAAAGCTCCAGATAGGATAGTCTTCTCTTGCCTGGGCTGAGGACCTACAAGGTGCAGCAAGAGGAGATGGAAATCTGGACTTGAATGTGAGATATCCTATTCTCACATTATGAGTTAAATATGGACAATTAACTTAACTTTTCTCAAAATATTATGTAGGCCAAACTCTTTAGCCAAAATTTGCAGCTTTGTATGGTTAGACCTTCTTCCTTTGCTTCCTATCTTGCTCTGATACTCACTTTGTACCGAGGTCTGCTCAACTCTTGACTTCTTGGGTTCTGAGTCCTGGTCCAAGTGCCATGCTTGGAACTTGACCTTAATGAAAAACTTCTCCAAGAGAAGTTTGAGAGCAAGGGTTGTAGTCACTCTGATTTTTCCAGCTCTTAAATTTTGCCCAGATCTCCAATCCTAGCACGAGATGCCCAGGCCAGACTCCACAAAGAGCAGTTGGTACGGGTTCCATGCCAACAAAGAGTGACAGTTCCCAAAACATCCTGAGGTGTTGCCAGATTTGTGTAAGTGTAACCTATGATTTCCTGACAGTAGAGTGAGGTGAATGAGAACTCAGAGGACCGACAAAATTCCAACGCTGTCAAGACTAAGGAAAGTTCAAATATCATGAAGCCTGTGCCAAACTTGATGCCAATAGGAAGTACTGAGGTCACACCTCAGATGTCTTGGTTGGCATCAGGAAGCTTCCCCAAGAGCCAGTGGTTTAAATTCTTTCTTTAATTCTCTGCCAGGAATTCTTAACTCAAGCAGGAAAAGAGAGGGGCCCAACTCCTAGATTGACCTGTGAATACAGCCCCCAGGTTTCTGCATGTGGCAACAGATCATGGTCCTTCTATTTGCTAACACATCCTTGAATTTTCATGCCCTGCTCAGGGCTCTTGGCCAGGGCTCAGCATGGAAGAGACAAAATAATAATAATAGAGACTGATTGCAGAGGGATATGTCAGTGAGTATGACATCCATGAGGAATATGCTTGGGGGAGATGAACTGCAAAAACTGAATATTGAAACTAGCAGTTGCCAGAATTATTTTCCCCAAGCCCTGCATGTTCCTGTTTAGTTTTATAATAAATATCAATTACCCAGTAGGAGAAAAGAGAGTCGACATCCATCACCAGACATCTGGCTTTGAAAACAGCTTTGAACACAACCTGTGAAACTAAATCTGTGCTGCCTTCATTCTCCAGTGGTCTCAGGAAGTCTTGCATCCAGAAAAAGGAATCACTTTGCTATTTCATTTTATTTTTGCATTTATATTATTGCATCACAATTTTTGGCTGCATAGCTTACTTGACTTTATTCTTTTATGGTCAATGGCCTTCTGAAATGTGAAATGTACTTAAAATTAGCAAAGACAATGTATCATCTTTTCTCTTAGATTTCATTTGGTCTTAGAGAAGCAAGACTACATTGTACAAAGTACAATGCAATGCAGCCGAGAGACCTGGGCTCTACTCCCCGTTCTATGTCTACAAGATTGCTCATTTTTGACCGTAGGTAATTTGTAACGTCCATCTCAGTCTTGGATTGGTTGTCTTTTAAGTGATAGGGTAGAATTAGATTATCTCCAAGGGCCCTGGGAATTCTAACACTCTGATACGGAATTTAGGTTGATGCCTGAGATACAGGCTCATGGACCTCATCTTCAAGTTTTCATTCCTGTAATGATATGTGGATCACTAGAAGAAAAAGCTTTGGGAAGATTTCTTGGAAATTTCCCCATACAGACTTCAGAGGAGAGAGTTAACAGAGAACTTTGTAACATTTCTGTGTAGTATTCCTGAGTACTTTCTCAGTTCTCTGGGCAATAAACAAAGGTTTTGAGAATATTTTCCAAAACAGTAGGGAGCCCTTCCTCTCCTCTACCTCTGGAGATCCCACTGGGTAAGAAAACTCTGAGACTTGAGAATGTTGCCAAAGATTCCCTCCCTCAGTGCCAATAGGATGCAAATTAAGGGATAAGTTACTCAGAATTTTCCAGAAAAGGGTGGTACTTTCAGGTCATTGCCATGGAAAGGGGTGGTAAGTTTTGGGTGTGCATGGCAATGGTAAACAGCCATGGCACTGGCAGGCATGTCTTAGGGAGAGGTGCTTTTGCCTCTTCCCTGTTTCAGCTAGTGTCTTCAATCTCGTCGGAGTTCAAGCCCCATCTTCAGAGTTGAGTTTCACCTCCTACCTCAAATCTAGCTTGACGCTTGATTTACCAAGGAGCTTGAAATTATTACTTCAGAGGTTTAAATGGAACCTCTCTGACTGTCATGGTGGTATAGTGTGTTTTGTAAGAAAGACTTGTGACTGGAGGCTGCAGTGGTTCAGCAATGGATCGGTGAATAGATAGCAAGTATGCTTTTGTATGTATGTGGCTTTTCTTCATAGGAAGAGCACAACTTCCCCAATGTATCTGCAGATGGCTTCAAAGAGACCCTTATCTGGCTCTCAGCAAAGCTCTTGCGTTATTGGCACTGAGGGAGGGAGTCTTTGGCAACTCATTATTCCTGTATCTGAAGTTTCCAGGGTGGAAACTTTTTAACACAAGCTCAGAGACTGTCCCTGAAAAACTGACAAAAGGTCCTCATTCCTTATTGTGCACTTTGGCAGCACGAGAGACTCTACTTTATCCTCAAGTTAAAGCAGGGGTAGGACCAAAAAGATAAAAGATTTTAAGCCAACATTCATTTATTCACGTATTCAACCAACCAACAACTATTGGCACCTGCCATGTGCTAGCTATTGGTGGGTGCTGGAGATATAGAAAATAATTGAGAAATAATTCTTGCTCTCAGGTAACTTAAAATTTAGTAAAGCATTAGGGAAAATAAACAAACAACTAGGCACGGAAGAGAAAACTTATGGTATCTAACCATGAGAGCTATGACCCTATGATGTGCTGCAGCGAGACTCCAATAATCCTTAAACTTTAAGTCATGTATGGCATTAAGTTTGTCTCACTACTAAGAATGAACAAGTTAGAATTGTGCCTTTTTTCCAATGCGTAGTTTAACAAGCACCCTCTATTACAGAACTGCCTAAGTTATATTGGCTATCAAATCATGATCAATACCAATGAGGATTTTAGGCTTGGTCACAGGATTTGCCAGAACCAGTCTTCCATAGTGAGACTAATTCCTGGTGATGAGCCCAGGTCTCCCAGTCTAGACTCCCTCATCCTTTGTTATGTGTCCCCAGTCGGAGATCTTGGTGTCCATTTGTGTTAACAGAACACAAACAGTACCATCTCAATCCTCAGACTTTGAGTGTTAAGTATCTCAATGCTATAAAGTCTTATTCTAAACATAAGATTCTAAAAAATATGAACTTCAAAGTGAAATGTGTTGGAGTCTCTATCCCTTTTCTTCCAGAAATCTCTTTGACCACTTTACAAACCCTCCCCTGAGTGAACAGGTCAGTATCCAGAAATTATAAGAGCACAGCAAATCAAAAGAGTATTCAGGTATTCCCCCAATTCCATTTTCTATTCCTAGTTACATGGGAAGATGATATATCAGTTACATCTGATTCAGTGATTATAATGAAAATGAGATAACACCTGGTATCAGAAAATACTATCAACATGGACACTTCATAAGTGTCCATACATAGAAAGCAACAACCAAAAACCAAAAATTAATAAATATTACTCTGGAAAGTCATATTTATTAATTATGTTAATTGCTTACCATGTATACCCAATTACCCTGCCAAACAACAACATCATTACAATGTATGTAAGTCAATTTTGTTATGGACTTTCTCTCCCTCACTCGCTCTTTCTTCCTCTCTCACTCTCCTTCTTCTCTCTCTCTCTCTCTCTCTCTGTCTCTCTCTCCCCTCCGCCCATGCACAACACATTGCTCACATGTTTCTGGTGATGCTGGTGTAAAGAAACCTACTGTGCTGCCAGCTATATAGAACACATACAATTAAGTGCAGTACATAATACTTGATAATGATAATAAATGACCATGTCACTGGTTTATATATTTTCTCTACTATACTTTCATCATTATTTTAGAGTGTATTTCTTCTACTTAATTTTTTTTTTTAAGTTAGCTGTAAAGCAGCCTCAGGCAGGTCCTTCAGGAAGAATTCCAGAAGACATTGTTATCATAGAAAATGACAGCTCAATGCATGTTATTGTCCCTGAAGACCTTCCAGTGGGATAGGATGTGGAGGTGAAATACATGATACTATCTGCTCCCTGTGTAGGCATAGGCTAATGTCTGTATTGGTGTCTTTGTTTTTAACCAAAAAAGTTTAAAAAGTAAAAAAGAAATTAAAAATTTGAAAAATAGAAAAAGCATATATAGTAAGGATATACAGAAAGAAAATATTTGTGTACAGCTGTACAATGTGATTTTATTTTAAGCTAAGTGCTATTACAAAAGAGTCAAAAAGTTTAAAAGAATATAAAAGTTTGTAAAGTAAAAAAGTCATAGCAGGCTAAAATTTATTATTGAAGAATTTAAAAAATAAATTTAGTATAACTTAAGTTTCCAGTGTTTATAAAGTCTACAGTAGTGTATAGTAATGTCCTAGGCTTTCATGCTTTCATATTCACTTTTTTTTTTTTTTTTTTTTTTGAGACAGAGTCTCGCTCTTTCACCCAGGCTGGAGTCCAGTGGCATGATCTCGGCTCACTGCAAGCTCCGCCTCCCGGGTTCACGCCATTCTCCTGCCTCAGCCTCCCGAGTAGCTGGGACTACAGGCGCCCGCCACCACGCCCAGCTACTTTTTTGTATTTTTAGTAGAGACGGGGTTTCACCGTGTTAGCCAGGATGGTCTCGATCTCCTTACCTTGTGATCCGCCCGCCTCGGCCTCCCAAAGTGCTGGGATTACAGGCTTGAGCCACCGCGCCGGCCCATATTCACTTTCTATTTACTCTCCTAGAACAACTTTCAGTTTCGCAAGCTTCATTCATGGTAAGTGCCCTCTACAGGTGTACCATTTTTTAAATCTTTTCTACTGTATTGTTACTGTACCTTTCCTAAGTTTAGATACACAGATACTTACCATTGTGTTACAGTTGCCTCCAGGATTCAGTATGAGTAACATGCTATACAGGTTTGTAGCCAGGAACAATAGGCTACATCATATAGCCCAGGTATGCAGTGAGCCACGACATCTAGGTTTGGGTAAGTTTGTGATGTTTGCACAATGATGAAACTGCCTAACTTACATTTCTCAGAATGCATCCCCACCGTGAAGCAATGCATGATTGTAATTTGTGTGTGTGTGTATATATATATAAAATTTATATTTATATATTTGAATATATTTATATTTATGTATAAATAAAATTTACATGTATATACTTATATATAAATACAATTTATATATGTAATTTATATTATATATAAAATAAAATTATGTATATATAAATATATAAAATGTCCCTAATCAGTTCAGGTATCCTCTTAAAACATTAGAGAAATAAAGGGCACATGGCTCCTAAACTGAGTTATGACCCATGGAGCATTTCACTGGCAGACAAAGGAAGTCTCTTTCAAAAAGCACTGATTGGAGAGTCAAACAATTGAGTGTCTGCTCATAAAAATATGGCAGGAATGATACTACCAAAAGGCATTTTGATAGCCCATTACCTTTTATTCCCTCCTCTAGCAGTTTCTGCGGGTCTGTACTCTTTCATAGGGATTCCTGGCAATCTCCATCTAGACCCATCCCCTTCCTGAATCAGAACCCTGGGATCCTCTGTGGCTTCTTTTTAACCTACACACAGATGCCAAGTGGGGAAAAGCGCACTGAGCTAGGATGACTGCCCTGACAGGTGATCCCCAGGTGAATCTACTAATGCAGGGATTGTCTATGTTGCCCTTAAACCACTTTACTGAAACACTACTCTTTTTTTGTTTTTTTTTTTGAGATGGAGTTTTGCTCTTGTTTCCCAGGCTGGAGTGCAGTGGTGCGATCTCAGCTCACTGCAACCTCCGCCTCCAGGGTTCAAGTGATTCTCCTGCCTCAGCCTCCTGAGTAGTTGGGATAACAGGCATGTGCCACCATGCTCAGCTAATTTTTTTGTATTTTTAGTAGAGACGGGGTTTCATCATGTTGGCCAGGCTGGTCTTGAACTCCTGACCTCAGGCTACCCACCCACCTTGGCCTCTCAAATTGTAGGGATTACAGGCGTGAGCCACCGCACCCAGCCTGAAACACTGCTCTTCAAGGAAAGTGCAAGGGCCTGTGGCTTCTCTAGCCTCCACCACACTTTTCTCTTTCTTTTTACCTCCTTTCTCCATTCTCTCCTTCTCCCAACTCTCCTCTCTCATTATCCCTTCCCCAGTGTTCCTTCTTGTAATCATTCTCCACCGAGTATCTCTATCTCTCACCTCTGCTTTTGTGCACATCTAACAGCTGAACCAGTTAGCCAAGTATTACCATAAGTAACTTTACAATGAATACTGCCAGGAACAAAACTGTTGCCTTTATAGACATTTTCCAGCATTCTAAGAAGCAATAATACTGGACGCATCAATCCACTCAGCCACCCTAGGGCACTCCTTTTGCGACTGGAATGCAATCTTCTTCTTTAACAGACTTGTACCTGATTGAAATCTTGATGGGTAAGGATCCTTTATGGTTTCACAGCTAATTGAAAGCATCAGCTCGTCGAGTTTTACAAACCCATTTTTTTTTTCTCTGCTTGATGATGCAGAACTCTGGGTCTTAATCAGGTTTTATACAACCCTTGCCCAGATTCCAACATCATTTCTTGGGGACATTTTATTCTGTCACCAAGAGAACCTATGGCTAATCTCCATTCAGGGGTAGGTCAGCTTCCTCTCTGAATGAGAAAACAAATCTGGATTCTCAATTTTTATGTCTTATATCAATTTGACTAATTTATTGTGTAGTATCTAAAGTATAGGAATCAACAAGATTCATTTCTGTAGAATATAAAAAATGATCAGCCCTTCAATGCCACATCAGAGAGTTCCTCAATTCTAGCCAAAAACATTCTGGAAACTTATTTTTTGGTCTCCTTTTTTTCCAGATACATCATGAGTTAAAAAAATTCAACCTATATTCAAATGTAATTAATGAACTAGAGATATATAATAACACATTATGTTCATGATAAAACATACAAAAATAGAAAATGTTTAATGAAAAACTAAATAAAAACAGAAGCTTTGATATTAACTTCTAAGCCAATGGATTGTCTTATGCACCTTCAGAATTCCACATTCTATGCTGAAGCCCTCTGCTCCCATGTATGAGAAGTCACAGGACTTAGTCATAGGACATGGTCACATCTGTGCCTTAGCTTAGCCTGAAACAGATGAGCCTGTTAGCTTCATCTCCAGCTTCTCTGCCTTTACCTTTCCCAGTTGCCCATACCCGGGTTTATGGTCCCTCTTTTTTTTTTTTTCTTTTTCAGCTGGAGCCCTATGCTAACAACTTCTCAAACTTTATGTGTATAAAATTAAATGAAATACAAAATAATCAGTGGAGAATCGAATGGGGGAAAGGAAATAAGATTTAAAAGGTCATTGTTATCTTTTCTGAGACACCTTCCCTGAACATCCTGCATTATGGACAATTACAGTTACCTCCACAGTTAGGTCGTTGGGAGAGGAGTGCAGTCTTAGGAAGAAGGTAGCTCTAAGGGAAAGGAGAATGTTTAACAGTCTCCACTGGGTTTATCTACAAATTTTGGAAGTAAAAAAACCTTTCTTTCTTCTCCCTGTATAGGGTTTTTCTGAACATTTTCCAAGAATGCTGAGGCAGAAGCTCTATGAGAGAATGACTAATCCCAGGCAATGTCCTTATACCATCAGCAGCGACTACCAAGGGTGGCGACGCTGGCTAGAAGCAGGGTGCATTATCCATAGAGAATTCAAAAGCAATAATAAAGCCTATAAAAGTTAATCTGCTTTTCATTATCACCATGCATGGCAATTCTAAGTAATATCAATGGTAAAATATTCCTCCCCCAAAACATTGTGAATTGAAGTTCTAAACAATTGCTGTGATTACTGTTGAGTTTTAACAATATATATGTAAACTTCAACTTAGTACATTTTTATTATTTATATTTTAATAAACATTGTGTTCTACATGAAAATTAATTCAGAGAACTTCCAGTTATACAGTTGGCCCCAACATACTTGGCCTCAGCTACACACCTTCATTTCTAAAGTAAGAGCATAACAATTCAATACCCAAGTTTGTTTCTAAAGGTTTGTCTCCAATCCCTGTGCTATTACATATTCCTGCCTTTAAACAGTAGATTCTAAAGAAATAATGTAGCCCAGTGATTGTAAAGACAAATTAAACCAACTTGAATTACAGAGCCATTTGATCATTCTATATGATTATGTGAAGTTTAATTGTGTTTAAAATTTATATTGAAACAGTGCAAACTGTGAGGTATATTTTTGTTTGGTAAGTGCAAATTTTAGTTCATATGTAAAATATTGTACTGAATTTAAATGATATATTTAAAATTAAAATTTATCCTTTCTGATAGTTAATTTTTTTGTTTTAATACCAGAGAATGAATCAAAAATAATAATTAGCTCTATTAGTAATCATTACATAATTATTACTGAAAATGATTTTTTTATATAAAGGACAGAAGTATTAAAAAGTGATCCCCTCTGGGTGTCAAGTATGCTAAACATGCCACTGACTACAAGTGTTCCCCGGAGGTGGCCACTATCCCTGCTGTCCAAGCTTATTGTAACCCAGGAGCACTCTTGAGCGTGCCTATCCTCTTCTCTTTCCTTGCTATTCCCAACATATTGATTAGTCAATGCAGCTTAATTCATGTTTCTAAACTTATATGTTTCTGCTCATCCACTGCCCAGTCTTCTGCTTTCTTTATGTGCTTCACTAAAAACAAATAGATTTCTTTTTTCCTATGAGAGTATCTCTGCACATAGATTCACCTGTGTACTGATTACTCACAAATTTATATCTCCAACTCTTACTGTTTCCCTGAACCCCAGATTTGTATACCTAACTCTGTATGCCACAGCTCCCCCTACATTTCTAATAGGTACATTAAATTGACTATGATCAAATATGATTTTATGTTCCCACCATATCTACTGTTCTCCCAGGGAACCCCATTTCAGTAAGTAGCAGCACTCTTCAATAAGTTATTCAAAACAAAACTCTAGATCTGTACTTCTCTATTTCTTCTACACCTTGCATACATCAGCAAACCCTATGGAGGCTCGGTTCTCACTCCTTCCTTGATTATTCTCCAAGACCTAGAACTCTGTAGAAGCCTGCTGCCTGCTTTCCCTGCTTACATCTTACCTGTTTTCCCTCCGCGGTGTCTCTTCCACAGTGGCCATAGTAAGCTTTATAAAACATTAATCAGGGCCAGGCACAGTGGGTCACACCTGTAATTTCACCTTTGGGAAGCGAGATGGGGGGATCACTTGAGCTCAGGCATTCAAGACTAGCTTAGGCAACATAATAAGGCCTTGTCTCTACAAAAAAAAATTTTTTTTTAAATAGCCGGGTGTGATGGCACACTATTATAGTCCCAGCTACTTGGAAGGCTTAGGCACAAGGATCACTTGAGCCCAGGAGTTTGAGGCTGCAGTGCCATGATCACACCACTGCACTCCAGCTTGGGCAACAGAACTAGACCCTATCTCCAAAAAAAAAAGAAAAATTAAACATTAGAAAACCATAAATCATTTTATGTCACTCCCCTGAACAAAACACTACAATAATTTGCTGTCAAATTTATAATAAAATCCAAAGCCCTTACATTGGCTTACAAGCTCTATATAATCTGGCCCTGGTCAGCTCTCTGACTTCTTCTCTGGCCTTCCCCCTATACTTCATTCTGGCCATATTGCCATTGTTGTCATTCTTTCAACACACTAACCAACTCTCTGCCGTGGGCTCTTTATACTTGTTCCACAGGCTAGAACATTTGTCCCAGATTTTCCTGTGACTCACCCCCTCACTTCTTCAGGTCATTGTTACCTTTTCTGAGACACCTTTCCTGAACATACTGCATTATGGGCAATAGCACAGTGGCACACTCTATTGCCTTGTCTTGACTTATTTTTCTTTACAGCATTTCTCAATACTTGACCATATATACATACATATGTATGTATACACATACATACATATGTATGTATACACATACATACATATGTATGTATACACATACATACATATGTATGTATACACATACATACATATGTATGTATACACATACATACATATGTATGTATACACATACATACATATGTATGTATACACATACATACATATGTATGTATACACATACATACATATGTATGTATACACATACATACATATATATATGTATATATATACATACATATATATATATACACATACATACATATATATAAATACAGTATATGTATATACACTGTATTTATCTCCCCCATTACAAAAGGGCAAAGAGCTTGTCTACGTTGTCCACCACTGAGTCAGCAGAGCTAGAGCTGGTAAAGAGAAGCTCTACAAATTTTCATTGAATTAGCAAACAATTAATCAACCCATCATGTATCCCAAATCCAAGTGTATGCTCTTTCTTATTCTCCAGTCTCATTTTTCTTCTCTTCAACTCCTGTCTGGTAATTGAGGAAGCATCCTTGCCTTTTTGCTGGCATCTCCAGGCCTCATTTCTCAAAGTTGCCTGAGAGAGATATGTATAAGTAATAGCTGTTCATTAGAGGGCATCTCCAGGAAAGTGGGCAGAAAGGCTGGTCACAGAGGTAGAGCCCAGCCTTTCCAGCTCTGACTGCCTCAAGGAATAGTCACCTAACTGCCTTTTTCTGCTTCTCATTTTATTTTATTTTATTTTATTTATTTTTGAGGCAAGGTCTTGCTTTGTCATCCAGGCTGGAGTGCAGTGAAACAATCTCAGCTCACTGCAACCTTGAGGCTCAAGTGATCCTCCTGCCTCAGTCTCCTAAGTAGCCGGGACCACAAATGCATGGTACCACTCCCAGTAAATTTTTTTTTTTTGATAGAGTCTCACTATGTTGCCCAGGCTGGTCTTGAACTCTTGTGCTCAAGAGACCCTCCTGCCTCAGCCTATCAAAGTATTGGAATTATGGGCATGAGCCACAACACATGGCCCCTTTCTCTGCTTCTTCATCTGCACTTCTTTAAATTTTATTTATTCATGGTGGCCACATGCCCCATCCTAGATGAGGAATCATGGCATCCTCATTCCTCTTGGCCATATGTGAATCCTCAAAGTCCTCAATCCCTTATCCATTATTCTAAAATCTAAAAGGCTCTAAAGATGAAAATGTTCTGTCCTAAATTTGAGGCTAACTCATTTGGCAGAAAAACTTGGCATGGCCTGGTGTGAGGCTCTTTATGGTCTTTTATTTATCCCACATTAATATTCATACATTTTGCATCAGGCTATTTATGCATTAGACTGCAGAGTGCTGCCCCCAACCTCCTTGGTGGTTTAACATAATATACAGAATTTGCACCTTCCATAATCTGAAACATTCTGAGTTCTGAAACATACCTGGGCCCCAGGTCTTGGATAAGGAATTGTGAAGCCCAGCTCTCTTTTTCAGCCATAGCTGATAGAAAGGGAGGTTGTGTGACCCAGAACCAAACAGTGGAATGTAAGGGGAAATCTTCTTGAGCTTCTAGAGAAAGATCTTGCTCTTAAAATAAAAAGGTAAAGCCCCTACAGAAAGTGGCCTTGCCCCACTCCTTCCTTCCTGCTCAGGGTCTGGGCTGAGGATGTGGCACCTTCTACCTTGTGACCATGAGGAGACAAGATCGAAAGATTAGCTGAGAATGGTGGGGGAAAAAGGGAAACTTTATGAGCCCCCAAAAGAACTCTGGAATCATAAACCATGCTTCTAGTTAAGTAAATACTGAACTTCCTTATTTTTAATCCAGGATTAATTAGTCTTTCTGTGACTTTCCTCCAAATGAGATTGGCCAGGGACAATAAAATGGTGTCTGAACAGGTGACAAGTAGGGCCCTCCCTCAGCCAACAGAGATAAGAAAGAGCATACACTTGGGTTTGGGATAGATGATGGGTGGATTAATTTGTTTGTTAACTGCAAAGTAACCTCTTCCTGATGAAGGATCAAACAAGAAGCCTATAATACCGGCAGACCACAGAAGGCCCAGGTGCTAGCCTTATCGGGTTGCCAAGAAGAAAGGAGAAGGAGAACAAAAAGGCAGGAGGACTCCCTTGGCAGAGATCCAGAGCAAAGGCAGCTGTTGCTTCTCATGAACACTCCAAAGTTTATCACAGTCACCTGTTACCCTAGCTGGCACAGGTCTTTGAAAGTGTGCTGGGAGTGTGTTTACATGTTTGTGTGTGCTTGTATGTTAAAGGTGCCCAGGTTAATACCAGGTGTATTAAAACGCCCTTGCCTGGCTAGTCCTTGTAGACCTTCTCTGAATGTTTTGGTGAATAAATCTGTTCTTCAGCAACCCTACCTGCTTCTCCAAACTGCCTAAAGAGATCCAGTACTGATGACGCTGTTCTTCCATCTTTACTCCCTGGAAACTAACCACGTTGTCTTCTTTCCTTCACCACCACCCAGGAGCTCAGAGATCTAAGCTGCTTTCCATCTTTTCTCCCAGCCCCAGGACACTGACTCTGTACAGGATGGGGCCGTCCTCTTGCCTCCTTCTCATCCTAATCCCCCTTCTCCAGCTGATCAACCCGGGGAGTACTCAGTGTTCCTTAGACTCCGTTATGGATAAGAAGATCAAGGATGTTCTCAACAGTCTAGGTAACTGACTGGGGTAGGGGAAGCGGGGGGTTGACCCTTGCTCATTTCTCCTGTTCTTAAACTCTAGCTTTGTCTCTATCCCATCCCAAGATCCCAACCAAGCCCAACCCCTGATGAGGGCTTTCTACACTACCCTACCCGTGTTTGAAGTCTTGGCTAAAAGCTGAGGTTTTCCTGATGAGGAGGAAGAGGTGGAGGAGAATGGTAGCTGTAATTTATGAACACTCATTATGAACCAGGTATAATCCAAGTTTTACGTAGATTATTTCATTTAATTCCCACAACCATTTTATGAGGTAAGGACAACTATTACTTCTGCTTTAAAAATGAGGAAACTAACCTTAAAAGCTGATGAGTAGGCTGATTCTGGACACAGTGTCACCTCCAAGGTAGAAGACAATTTGGAAGGGGATAAGGGGATTATGGGGAGGATAGCTCATGGGATGTACCCTTTCTTCTTTCCTACTCAGAGTACAGTCCCTCTCCTATAAGCAAGAAGCTCTCGTGTGCTAGTGTCAAAAGCCAAGGCAGACCGTCCTCCTGCCCTGCTGGTGAGTAACTCCCTGAGAGGGAATGGCGACTACGATGCCCTGTATCCTCCCCTGTCCATCTCCCTGCACCTACGTCTTCCCCCATGTCAGGTCTGTATCACCCTGGCACCCTGGGGCTGAGTCATGACTCTTGGTTCCCAGAGACCCCTTGCCCATTCTTGTTTCCCTGAAGGATGCTACTGGGGGATCTTGGGCTTCTGCCTCTTCCTTTCACCCCTTCACTTCATGCCCCTGTTTCTCAGCCCTTCCTCTCCTCCATTGTCCCATAATGATCACATACTTCATTTCTCTTTCCAATCTATTCCTCTGTTTTGATGGGTAGGGGCCAACAGAGAGGTGAATTTATCACAAATCGAAGAAAACTGAAACTCCCAAGTTCCAAGTCTCTCACTTGCATGAGTCTCTTTCATGGCAGCAAATATTTGTTTCTGTGATTTCTGTATTTCTTTTCTTGAAATGAGCTCGCAAAATTGAATGAGCTTGAGGCCCCACGAAACCTAGCTCTACCCCTGACTGCACAGGGTTGAAAGATGGTTGTGGGTAGCCCTTCCTCCTCTTAAATTCCAAGAGCTCTGATGTCTGTGCTTCATGTGCTCATGCAGGGATGGCTGTCACTGGCTGTGCTTGTGGCTATGGCTGTGGTTCGTGGGATGTTCAGCTGGAAACCACCTGCCACTGCCAGTGCAGTGTGGTGGACTGGACCACTGCCCGCTGCTGCCACCTGACCTGACAGGGAGGAGGCTGAGAACTCAGTTTTGTGACCATGACAGTAATGAAACCAGGGTCCCAACCAAGAAATCTAACTCAAACGTCCCACTTCATTTGTTCCATTCCTGATTCTTGGGTAATAAAGACAAACTTTGTACCTCTCTGTGCTTATGTCATCTCTGTTATTGTCCCCAGCTTGGGGCTCCCCTATCCAGAAAATGTTGTCAGTGTCCCAGTGGTGACATCTCAGTTTGGGAAGTGGGATGGGAAGTTAGGAAAGATATGGGAAGAATGGGAAAAACAAACTGACACTCCAAACCCCCACTTCCCTCATTTTTATTTATTTATTTATTTATTTTTTTCTTTTTTTTCATTTTTTTTTTTTTTATTATACTCTAAGTTTTAGGGTACATGTGCACATTGTGCAGGTTAGTTACATATGTATACATGTGCCATGCTGGTGCGCTGCACCCACTAACGTGTCATCTAGCATTAGGTATATCTCCCAATGCTATCCCTCCCCCATCCCCCGACCCCACCACAGTCCCCAGAGTGTGATATTCCCCTTCCTGTGTCCACGTGATCTCATTGTTCAATTCCCACCTATGAGTGAGAATATGCGGTGTTTGGTTTTTTGTTCTTGCGATAGTTTACTGAGAATGATGGTTTCCAATTTCATCCATGTCCCTACAAAGGACATGAACTCATCATTTTTTATGGCTGCATAGTATTCCATGGTGTATATGTGCCACATTTTCTTAATCCAGTCTATCATTGTTGGACATTTGGGTTGGTTCCAAGTCTTTGCTATTGTGAATAGTGCCGCAATAAACATACGTGTGCATGTGTCTTTATAGCAGCATGATTTATAGTCCTTTGGGTATATACCCAGTAATGGGATGGCTGGGTCAAATGGTATTTCTAGTTCTAGATCCCTGAGGAATCGCCACACTGACTTCCACAATGGTTGAACTAGTTTACAGTCCCACCAACAGTGTAAAAGTGTTCCTATTTCTCCACATCCTCTCCAGCACCTGTTGTTTCCTGACTTTTTAATGATTGCCATTCTAACTGGTGTGAGATGATATCTCACTGTGGTTTTGAGTTGCATTTCTCTGATGGCCAGTGATGATGAGCATTTCTTCATGTGTTTTTTGGCTGCATAAATGTCTTCTTTTGAGAAGTGTCTGTTCATGTCCTTTGCCCACTTTTTGATGGGGTTGTTTGTTTTTTTCTTGTAAATTTGTTTGAGTTCATTGTAGATTCTGGATATTAGCCCTTTGTCAGATGAGTAGGTTGTGAAAATTTTCTCCCATGTTGTAGGTTGCCTGTTCACTCTGATGGTAGTTTCTTTTGCTGTGCAGAAGCTCTTTAGTTTAATTAGATCCCATTTGTCAATTTTGGCTTTTGTTGCCATTGCTTTTGGTGTTTTGGACATGAAGTCCTTGCCCACGCCTATGTCCTGAATGGTAATGCCTAGGTTTTCTTCTAGGGTTTTTATGGTTTTAGGTCTAACGTTTAAATCTTTAATCCATCTTGAAATGATTTTTGTATAAGGTGTAAGGAAGGGATCCAGTTTCAGCTTTCTACATATGGCTAGCCAGTTTTCCCAGCACCATTTATTAAATAGGGAATCCTTTCCCCATTGCTTGTTTTTCTCAGGTTTGTCAAAGATCAGAAAGTTGTAGATATGCGGCATTATTTCTGAGGGCTCTGTTCTGTTCCATTGATCTATATCTCTGTTTTGGTACCAGTACCATGCTGTTTTGGTTACTGTAGCCTTGTAGTATAGTTTGAAGTCAGGTAGTGTGATGCCTCCAGCTTTGTTCTTTTGGCTTAGGATTTACTTGGCGATGCGGGCTCTTTTTTGGTTCCATATGAACTTTAAAGTAGTTTTTTCCAATTCTGTGAAGAAAGTCATTGGTAGCTTGATGGGGATGGCATTGAATCTGTAAATTACCTTGGGCAGTATGGCCATTTTCACGATATTGATTCTTCCTACCCATGAGCATGGAATGTTCTTCCATTTGTTTGTGTCCTCTTTTATTTCCTTGAGCAGTGGTTTGTAGTTCTCCTTGAAGAGGTCCTTCACATCCCTTGTAAGTTGGATTCCTAGGTATTTTATTCTCTTTGAAGCAATTGTGAATGGGAGTTCACTCATGATTTGGCTCTCTGTTTGTCTGTTGTTGGTGTATAAGAATGCTTGTGATTTTTGTACATTGATTTTGTATCCTGAGACTTTGCTGAAGTTGCTTATCAGCTTAAGGAGATTTTGGGCTGAGACGATGGGGTTTTCTAGATACACAATCATGTCGTCTGCAAACAGGGACAATTTGACTTCCTCTTTTCCTAATTGAATACCCTTTATTTCCTTCTCCTGCCTAATTGCCCTGGCCAGAACTTCCAACACTATGTTGAATAGGAGTGGTGAGAGAGGGCATCCCTGTCTTGTGCCAGTTTTCAAAGGGAATGCTTCCAGTTTTTGCCCATTCAGTATGATATTGGCTGTGGGTTTGTCATAGATAGCTCTTATTATTTTGAAATACGTCCCATCAATACCTAATTTATTGAGAGTTTTTAGCATGAAGGGTTGTTGAATTTTGTCAAAGGCTTTTTCTGCATCTATTGAGATAATCATGTGGTTTTTGTCTTTGGCTCTGTTTATATGCTGGATTACATTTATTGATTTGCGTATATTGAACCAGCCTTGCATCCCAGGGATGAAGCCCACTTGATCATGGTGGATAAGCTTTTTGATGTGCTGCTGGATTCGGCTTGCCAGTATTTTATTGAGGATTTTTGCATCAATGTTCATCAAGGATATTGGTCTAAAATTCTCTTTTTTGGTTGTGTCTCTGCCCGGCTTTGGTATCAGAATGATGCTGGCCTCATAAAATGAGTTAGGGAGGATTCCCTCTTTTTCTATTGATTGGAATAGTTTCAGAAGGAATGGTACCAGTTCCTCCTTGTACCTCTGGTAGAATTCGGCTGTGAATCCATCTGGTCCTGGACTCTTTTTGGTTGGTAAACTATTGATTATTGCCACAATTTCAGAGCCTGTTATTGGTCTATTCAGAGATTCAACTTCTTCCTGGTTTAGTCTTGGGAGAGTGTATGTGTCGAGGAATGTATCCATTTCTTCTAGATTTTCTAGTTTATTTGCGTAGAGGTGTTTGTAGTATTCTCTGATGGTAGTTTGTATTTCTGTGGGATCGGTGGTGATATCCCCTTTATCATTTTTTATTGTGTCTATTTGATTCTTCTCTCTTTTTTTCTTTATTAGGCTTGCTAGCGGTCTATCAATTTTGTTGATCCTTTCAAAAAACCAGCTCCTGGATTCATTGATTTTTTGAAGGGTTTTTTGTGTCTCTATTTCCTTCAGTTCTGCTCTGATTTTAGTTATTTCTTGCCTTCTGCTAGCTTTTGAATGTGTTTGCTCTTGCTTTTCTAGTTCTTTTAATTGTGATGTTAGGGTGTCAATTTTGGATCTTTCCTGCTTTCTCTTGTAGGCATTTAGTGCTATAAATTTCCCTCTACACACTGCTTTGAATGCGTCCCAGAGATTCTGGTATGTGGTGTCTTTGTTCTCGTTGGTTTCAAAGAACATCTTTATTTCTGCCTTCATTTCGTTATGTACCCAGTAGTCATTCAGGAGCAGGTTGTTCAGTTTCCATGTAGTTGAGCGGCTTTGAGTGAGATTCTTAATCCTGAGTTCTAGTTTGATTGCACTGTGGTCTGAGAGATAGTTTGTTATAATGTCTGTTCTTTTACATTTGCTGAGGAGAGCTTTACTTCCAACTATGTGGTCAATTTTGGAATAGGTGTGGTGTGGTGCTGAAAAAAATGTATATTCTGTTGATTTGGGGTGGAGAGTTCTGTAGATGTCTATTAGGTCTGCTTGGTGCAGAGCTGAGTTCAATTCCTGGGTATCCTTGTTGACTTTCTGTCTCGTTGATCTGTCTAATGTTGACAGTGGGGTGTTAAAGTCTCCCATTATTAATGTGTGGGAGTCTAAGTCTCTTTGTAGGTCACTCAGGACTTGCTTTATGAATCTGGGTGCTCCTGTATTGGGTGCATAAATATTTAGGATAGTTAGCTCCTCTTGTTGAATTGATCCCTTTACCATTATGTAATGGCCTTCTTTGTCTCTTTTGATCTTTGTTGGTTTAAAGTCTGTTTTATCAGAGACTAGGATTGCAACCCCTGCCTTTTTTTGTTTTCCATTGGCTTGGTAGATCTTCCTCCATCCTTTTATTTTGAGCCTATGTGTGTCTCTGCACGTGAGATGGGTTTCCTGAATACAGCACACTGATGGGTCTTGACTCTTTATCCAACTTGCCAGTCTGTGTCTTTTAATTGCAGAATTTAGTCCATTTATATTTAAAGTTAATATTGTTATGTGTGAATTTGATCCTGTCATTATGATGTTACCTGGTGATTTTGCTCATTAGTTGATGCAGTTTCTTCCTAGTCTCGATGGTCTTTACATTTTGGCATGATTTTGCAGCGGCTGGTACCGGTTGTTCCTTTCCATGTTTAGCGCTTCCTTCAGGAGCTCTTTTAGGGCAGGCCTGGTGGTGACAAAATCTCTCAGCATTTGCTTGTCTATAAAGTATTTTATTTCTCCTTCACTTATGAAGCTTAGTTTGGCTGGATATGAAATTCTGGGTTGAAAATTCTTTTCTTTAAGAATGTTGAATATTGGCCCCCACTCTCTTCTGGCTTGTAGGGTTTCTGCTGAGAGATCCGCTGTTAGTCTGATGGGCTTTCCTTTGAGGGTAACCCAACCTTCCTCTCTGGCTGCCCTTAACATTTTTTCCTTCATTTCAACTTTGGTGAATCTGACAATTATGTGTCTTGGAGTTGCTCTTCTCGAGGAGTATCTTTGTGGCGTTCTCTGTATTTCCTGAATCTGAACGTTGGCCTGCCTTGCTAGATTGGGGAAGTTCTCCTGGATAATATCCTGCAGAGTGTTTTCCAACTTGGTTCCATTCTCCACATCACTTTCAGGTACACCAATCAGACGTAGATTTGGTCTTTTCACATAGTCCCATATTTCTTGGAGGCTTTGCTCATTTCTTTTTATTCTTTTTTCTCTAAACTTCCCTTCTCGCTTCATTTCATTCATTTCATCTTCTATTGCTGATACCCTTTCTTCCAGTTGATCGCATCGGCTCCTGAGGCTTCTGCATTCTTCACGTAGTTCTCGAGCCTTGGTTTTCAGCTCCATCAGCTCCTTTAAGCACTTCTCTGTATTGGTTATTCTAGTTATACATTCTTCTAAATTTTTTTCAAAGTTTTCAACTTCTTTGCCTTTGGTTTGAATGTCCTCCCGTAGCTCAGAGTAATTTGATCGTCTGAAGCCTTCTTCTCTCAGCTCGTCAGAATCATTCTCCATCCAGCTTTGTTCTGTTGCTGGTGAGGAACTGCGTTCCTTTGGAGGAGGAGAGGCGCTCTGCGTTTTAGAGTTTCCAGTTTTTCTGTTCTGTTTTTTCCCCATCTTTGTGGTTTTATCTACTTTTGGTCTTTGATGATGGTGATGTACAGATGGGTTTTCGGTGTAGATGTCCTTTCTGGTTGTTAGTTTTCCTTCTAACAGACAGGACCCTCAGCTGCAGGTCTGTTGGAATACCCTGCTGTGTGAGGTGTCAGTGTGCCCCTGCTGGGGGGTGCCTCCCAGTTAGGCTGCTCGCGGGTCAGGGGTCAGGAACCCACTTGAGGAGGCAGTCTGCCCGTTCTCAGATCTCCAGCTGCGTGCTGGGAGAACCACTGCTTTCTTCAAAGCTGTCAGACAGGGACAGTTAAGTCTGCAGAGGTTACTGCTGTCTTTTTGTTTGTCTGTGCCCTGCCCCCAGAGGTGGAGCCTACAAAGGCAGGCAGGCCTCCTTGAGCTGTGGTGGGCTCCACCCAGTTCGAGCTTCCCGGCTGCTTTGTTTACCTAAGCAAGCCTGGGCAATGGCGGGCGCCCCTCCCCCAGCCTCGTTGCCGCCTTGCAGTTTGATCTCAGACTGCTGTGCTAGCAATCAGCGAGATTCCGTGGGCGTAGGACCCTCTGAGCCAGGTGTGGGATATAGTCTCGTGGTGCGCCGTTTCTTAAGCCGGTCTGAAAAGCGCAATATTCGGGTGGGAGTGACCCGATTTTCCAGGTGCGTCCGTCACCCCTTTCTTTGACTCGGAAAGGGAACTCCCTGATCCCTTGCGCTTCCCAGGTGAGGCAATGCCTCGCCCTGCTTCGGCTCGCGCACGGTGCGCACACACACTGGCCTGCGCCCACTGTCTGGCACTCCCTAGTGAGATGAACCCGGTACCTCAGATGGAAATGCAGAAATCACCCGTCTTCTGCGTCGCTCACGCTGGGAGCTGTAGACCGGAGCTGTTCCTATTCGGCCATCTTGGCTCGAGATCCTCATTTTTAAACAAAAAGATGGCTGTGCCAGACATACTGCTTGGCAAGGGGTAAAGAGAAATAAAATAACACACCCTTACAGAGCTCACCAACTAGAATAACAGGCTCCGAGCTATGTGTGAGATTTTTCAAGGGATGGGCAAGCAGGGGTAGCTTTAAGGGAATCTATTTCTAGATTTTCAGTGTGCATATGTACTCTTTACTAAATTCAAGTGCCTGAGACGTGCTTTGATCAAGGTGACTTCTTTCACCATTGCCTTTCTCCCACATAACAAAAGAAAACCACAGCCCTCACCTGTCACTGAATCTTATTATCCTGGGGTATAAAAATCTGCAGAATGCCAAACAAGAAGTGATTAAAAATATGGGCATCCACAATGAGTGTATGAATGATCCAGTGATGGGGTAACAAGTCCTTTCACGGCTCGGGAGGCTTCCATGGTTTGGTCTTTATAGGATTGAAGGAGGATATAATGCAATTGTCAATTGATGAATCACCAAAAATAATTTTTAATAATAAGTTGGTGTGTGAGATTGTTGACAAGTCATTCAAAAGGAATTCAGACAAATTGAACGGCATTACTACAATAAACACTTTTTCTTTCTATCTACTTAATTATAAAAAGTAGACATGTCAAAGCTGGCAATTATGAAAAGAAATAGTAAGAATGGCTGGGTGCGGCGGCTTATGCCTGTGATCCCAGCACTTTGGGAGGCCGAGGGGGTGGATCACTTGAGGTCAGGAGTTCGAGACCAGTCTGGCCAACATGGTGAAACCCTGTCTCTACTAAAAATACAAAAAAATTAGCTGGGCGTGGTGGCTCATGCCTGTAATCCCAGCTACTTGGGAGCCTGATGCAGGAAAATTGTTTGAACCTGGGAGGCGGAGGTTGCAGTGAGCTGTGATCGTGCCACTGCACTCCAGCCTCCAGCCTGGGCAACAGAGCAAGACTCTGTCTCAAAAAAAAAAATGCTAGGAATATAATGGTTCTAGACTGTATGTCACTCTAGCGAAATGTCCATGAGTATATAAACTACTTGGGTGGGAGGAGAAGCTCTTTCTCATTTAAAAAAATATAGTTATGAAATATTGTTTGGGTTTATTAATTACTTATAAAAATTTGTTATAACTGCTCTGTTCAAATATGCACTGTTAATTATTATAATAATAGGTATACTCTTATTTATAGCTGCTGCAGTGAGTCTTTTAGAATAGAAAGCAGATAATGTCACCTTCCTGTTCAAGTCTAGTGACTTCCACAACATGAAAAAATAAAATCTCAAGGCCAACTAAATCCTGCATTCCCTGGTCACTGGCTATATCTCTAACTTCATTTGTAACCCTTGTTCACCCTGGCCATATCTGCATTCTAGGTATTCTCTGTCATAGCCACCCTCCCACCTTGAGGCCTTCCTACGTCCTGTCTCCCAGATAGTTACACAGTTCTCACACAAAAGGTCAGTGCTCAATTTTTTTCAGAAAACCTTTCGCATCACCTCTAACTCTTGCCCTGTTTTTTTTTTCATGATGCTTCTCAGTGTTGACTTCATATTCTATTTATGAGTGTATTAACTATCTCTTGCATTGGAACATGTAGTCCATGAAAGAGAAAACTTTGCCTAACTTGCACACCATTGACTCCCCAGTGCATAGCACAGTGCCTGGCCCATGGAGGAGCTATAATGAACAATGCGCCTGCTACTGGGTCTAGCTCTGAGTCTGAGTCAGCTCCCTCTTTTGCTTTCTATTCCTCTTCTTTTACCTCAATCCTGGTCATTGAGGAACAAATGTTGTTTTAATGGAGATCCTTGGGTTTAATTCTCAAAGTGTCAGTAGGAGAAATAGCTGTTCATTAGAGGGCACTCTGAGAAAGAAAAGCCAGAGAGTGAAGATGGAGGTCAGAGAGGTTAGCTATAGCAGAAGCAAAAGTAGATATTGTAGCTTTGTCCAATATAATTAGCTGCTCACTTGGTGGCCCATTTCCCCTTTCTCACTGTTAACAGAATCTTGATGTCATTCAGGGTATTGATGTGTCCAGTCCTGAAGGATAAAATATTGGTTAAACCAATAATATAACTTTCACTTCTCTTGGCCAAGTATTTCTTTTTCTAGCCACCTTTGCATGGAGTGGAGTTGCATGGGGTGGCAGGTGACCCAAATCAGACCAAGAAGACATACATGGGAGGGTTCTTCTTGGGCCTCCTGAGAAAGAATTCACTTCTTGAATTAAAAACAGAGACTCAAAATTGTCCATGTCACTTCTTGCTTGGGCTGTTGGTGTGAGGATGTGATGTCTGGAGCTGTGGCAGCTATCTTGTGTCCATGGAGTTAGTTCAATCATCCTGTGACTTTTGAGCCAAAACTGTAAGCATGGTGAAGCAGAAAGAGGAAAAAGAACCTGGAGCTGTAATCACATTATTCTACCACTAAACAAACTCTGAAATCATTTAAACTATTTTTCTTCTTAACTAAATAAAAAGTATTCTTATTCACTCATTTAACAAATATTTATTAAATTCTTTATACAAAGGCACTGGGCTGCAGTGGTTGCCAAAACAGGAAAAGATTACTGCCTTCATAGAGCCTCCATTCTAATTCTATGTCTCCCCCAGCTGAAATTTTGTGTTACTGGTCTATGGAGAGAATTAGTCAAGGGCAATGTCATGTTATCTGAACAGATGACAATAAGGGCCCTTAGATCATACTCTCTGTACCTTTTCCCAATGAAGGAATGAACAAAAGGCCTATAATGAGATATATCATCCAATTTGGTGATTTCTGGCAAAGTAGCTGCCGAGCTTGTGGGGCTGCCAAGAAGAAAAGAGAGGAGAAAGAAAAGCAGGAAGAATTCCTTAGGCAGAGAACGAGAGCAACGGCAGCTGGGACCTCTCAGGACACAAACTGGAGATTGTCCCAGGCTCATTCTAAAAGTTTGACCCTCCCAGGCTACCTTAGTTCCTAGTTACTGCCAGAGTGTGTGTTGGTGGAGGGGAGACAATGCCACACCAGACACACCGCCAGATATAAAAAGTCCCTGTCCTCCCATCTTCAGCAGCTCCTTCCTCAGTCTGGCAGGTGAACCTGAGCAAGGCTACCTTCTTGACATCTCTGCTTCGTAGGAGTGCTGGAAGGGGACCCAGGCATCCCAAGCATGACAGCTGCCTCTTCCCTGCTCCCTACAGTACCTGCTCCTACCTTTCCTGCTCCTTTCCCTCCCCTCCCCTATGAACCCAGGAGCTGCTTTTCATCTTCTCTTCATTTTCCCTTCAGCTCAGGATGCTGCCTTTTTACAAAACGAAGACCTCTTTCCACCTCCTTCTCATCCTCCTTCTCCAACTATGCCTGCAGGGGATGCCCAGTGCTCCTTACAGTTAGCTGTTAACAAAAGGATAAGAGTTGCTCTCAGCAAACTGAGTAATTGATATGGGGATGAGGGTGGAAGTTATATCCCTGATTCTCAATCCTGTTACTAGACCACAAGCCATTTCCTAACCCATCCCCAGATTCCAACCTCTAACTGGAAGATGCATCCTCAACTTGCTGCCCTCTCTATGCCTTTTGGGACTCTTAGAACCAATGGCAATGGCATTGGTAAGGACTATACCTAGCATTCTTGAGCATTTACTATGTGTTAGGTACCTTTAGATATTCTATTACTACGTTATTAACTCCTTACAAAATTCTGTGAGGTAAGCACTGTTATATTTTGCATTCCACAGAAGAGGAAACTGAGGCTTAGAAAAGTTACATAATTTGCTTCACAGCACTCAACTATTGATGTGACTTGATAATGGACACAGTGACTTATTTGCATGAGCAGAAGGGTGATATGGGATTGGCCAGTGAAAGCCCCTGTGTTTGCTCTTTATCTCTTCCCACAGAATGCAATCCCTCAGGCTGCCCAAAACATCTCTCCTGAACCAACATCACTAATGAAAGCAACCTGTCCTCCTGCCCCTCAGGTAACTCGCTGTATGAAGTTAAAGGGGATTGCCTCCCCCATGCTCATTCCTGTGTGCTGAGCTTAGGCTGCCAACCCATCGCTGTATAGCAGGCTGTCCCCAACCTCAGGATTGTAATGTTGCTGGATTGAGTCACAACCCCAATACCCATAATTTCCCTTTCCATCTTTTCATCCCAAGGGGCTACTTAGGGATCTCATGTTTATTCTCATGCTCTCCTTTCTTCCTAAATCTCCCACATCCCAAATGTTTCTGTTCCCCATTGTCCTCCATCTCACTTTCCCAATCTAATCCCATACTATTTCAACCCCATCAGAAGCGAGATTACTTTATAGGACAAAAGAAAATTGCAGGAGGTCTTCTCTCAGGATCTCTGATGTCCTTGCCCCTTCTGCCACCGTCCAGGCCATGCAGGGCACATCATCACCAGATGTTCCTCTGGCCATGCCTGTGACTCACGGGATGTCTGGGGAAAACCACGAGCCAAGGCCATTACAATCCCCTAGAGTCAACCGCTGCCCACTGCTGCCACCTCATCTAAGAAAAGAGGGCTGACACCTCAGTCTGGAGGCCATGAAGGCAACAAAATCATGATCACAACCAGGAAACCTCCACCCCCACTCATCCAAACCATAACTTTTTAACTCAAGTCTCTCTGCCTATGGCATCTCTCAGTGCTGTGTCCTTGGTGCTAGTAGCCTCTGACCTGGGTCTTCTCTATTCATAGGATGTTACCTCCATGTCACGTGTTCCAACTTCTGCTTGAAGGGGAGGCCTTAGGGAGAACCATAAGAACTGAAATCAGCTTTCCACCCTCACCACCATCATCTCATTCTTCAACAAATATAGGGCCACACTGTTCCAGGATCTGTTTGTTCTCAGCACTAGAGGTACAGAAAAGTAAAACTGTACACATGCTCTGTGCATGGTCACCATCTATAGCATTCCCTAAACATCAAGGCACATATGCTTTGTCTTGGCTTGGGAGCAACCTGGATGATCTAGTCATCACTTCTCTGATCACCAGTCACTACTTTAAAATATAGGTTCCATGATTATTTAGGTGTGGCAAGGCCAACAGATCAGGAAATGACTGCCATGGAAAAGAGGATTATACTCACAGATTCCAAGAGAAGGCGGCATGCCAGGTGATGGGGAGCCACACGGAGAAGCACTGGGGTGGGTTGGGAGGCAGAGGGAGAAAGGGGAAAATGTGGCAAGGACTTTATTTTGATTTCCATGGGAAAGGACACACAAGACAGGGTAAGAAGGATTAGGATTGGCTAGCTTCAATAATTTCAGCAGGCTCTGAGACCTAGGGGCTGCCCTTAGTTGTCTGACACCTGGCCCTACGGTGAGTAGCACAGGTAGAGAGTGGCCTAGAGAGTGAGACCCCAGTAAAGGAGGTGGGTGAAGTTATGACCCTGGATTGGTTGTTTTGCATATAAAAAGAAGGGAAGGTGAGTTGTTTGCTACCTCTAGGAATTAGCCAACCTAGGCGAGGGCCGTCCTTCCAGGGTCAGGGTCAGCAAGGCCTCAAGGTGTCAAGGCATCAGGGAAAAAAGGCATGGTTCATTTATGCACTTTTTACAGGTGGTCAGTTTTCTCACCACATCCTTCACTGAAGAAGCCTGGCATGTAATTCCCCTTTAGACTGCTATGATGCTCCCTCCATGTGGGAATTCCTACACAATTGCCTCAGATCCTTCCCAGTATGTAGAGTCTCTATGTCACAAGTGCAAGGATACATTTGGCATAATATGAGGAATTTTTGAGGCTTAAGTTGTAGGCCTCTGAGTGAAATGTAAGTACCACCTGACCACAGATTCTTCTAGCAGAGCTGAGTGCTTAAGACTCACTCTTAGAGTCAAGCTGTCTCACTATACCTAACTGTTCATTCCCCCTTACATGGGATTTAAGTGGTTTTTTTTTTCCTAAGAATCTGGAACCGGATCCTCTAATGATGTCATAAGACCTGAGCTGTATTCACCTAGGAATCATGTTGTAAAATACTCAAGAAAGCACAGGTGAGTCTTTGTCCTTGAAGAGGGCAAATTAAAGAGAAGGTGGCAGGTATCAAAGGCAGGTGGTGACTCTTCCTATTGCTTTCTGATGTCTCCAAGGCCAATCCCTGAATGCATGGCCCCTCTAGGGAATCATGACCCAGGATCCCAAACCACTGGGAGAAATCTTCACTCTGCTGACTCTGGCATGCAGCACAAATGAACCATCACCTGCTTCAGACACTAAACATGCAATGACAACTCATCCCCCACCCTTTGTAATCTGCAATCATTTATCCCAGGCTGACTGGTTCTCAACATCTCTGGTAAGAAAGAGGGCATAAATCATCCACTGTTATAGAATCGCATAGCCTATCACCCATGATTCATAGACATTCTACTTCAATTCTACACCAGAAACTTAACAATAAAGATTCCTACTTACTGGATGTATTGGCAAAAAGAGAAAGGTTAAAACAGAACCAATATCCAATGCTGATATTCTCTTCCCCATGGGTCCAGTATGAAACACTCTCACAAATTTAGGTATGCTTCTCCTCCAAATGGGAATGCTTATATCAGTTAGCACATAGTGGTTCAGCTTGTGGTTCCATGAAGTAGGGTGTCATAATTTCTCTCCTTGGAAGAACTATAAAAGTATGATTGATTTTCAGATTCTCATCCTAACAAGAAGGTGGTAACACCAATGCAACAACTCTGGTGGGATCAGAAATTAGATTTTATAGTGCTGTTGCCTCCTCTCCTCACCACCTCCAGCCTCAGTACAACCATTACCCATTGCAGCAAAGCTCTTGCTTCTCAAAACTTCATTTCTCTGAAGGTTTTTATCTTATTTATTTATTTTTTTAATTAACAGACAGAATCTTGCTCTGTTTCCCAGGCTGGAATGCAGTGGAATGATTATAGATCAATGCAGCCTCAAACTCCTGAGCTCAAGCAATCCTCCTGCCTCAGCTTCCCAAGTAGCTGGGACTACAGATGCGTGCTCCCACACTTGTGTGATGGTTAATATTGAGTGCCAACTTGGTTGGACTGAAGGATGCAAAGTATTGTTCCTGGGTGTGTCTGTGAGGGTGTTGCCGAAGGAGATTAACATTTGAGACAGTGGGCTGGGAAAAGCAGAACCACCCTCAATCTGGGTGGGCACCATCTAATCAGCTGCCTGCACAGCCAGAATAAAAGCAGGCAGAAGAACGTGGAAAAACTAGACTGGCTGAGTCTTCTGGCCTCCATCTTTCTCCCATGCCGGACACTTCCTGCCCTCGAACATCGGACCTCAAGTTCTTCAGCTTTGGGACTCTTGGACCTTCAACCACAGACTGAAGGCTGCACTGACGGCTTCCCTACTTTTCAGGTTTTGGGACTCGGACTAGCTTCCTTGCTCCTCAGCTTGCAGATGGTCTGCTGTGGGACTTTGCCTTGTAATCATGTGAGTCAATACTCCTTTATAGACTCCCCTTTATATATACATCTATCCTGTTAATTTTGTCCCTCTAGAGGACGCTCACTAATACACTTGGCTATTTTTTATTTTTATAGAGAAGAAGTATCACTAGGTTGCCCAGGCTGGTCTCAAACTCCTGACCCCAAGCAATCCTCCCAAAAACCCAAAAGGTTTTTACTTTTTTTTTTTTTTTTTTTGAGACGGAGTCTCGCTCTGTCGCCCAGGCTGGAGTGCAGTGGCGCCATCTTGGCTCACTGCAAGCTCCGCCTTCCGGGTTCACGCCATTCTCCTGCCTCAGCCTCCCGAGCAGCTGGGACTACAGGCGTCCGCCAACACGCCCGGCTAATTTTTTGTATTTTTAAGTAGAGACGGGGTTTCACCGTGTTAGCCAGAATGGTCTCGATCTCCTGACCTTGTGATCCGCCCGCCTCAGCCTCCCAAAGTGCTGGGATTACAGGCGGGAGCCACCGTGCCTGGCCTAGAACAAAGGAAATTTTTAAGAAATCTATACACTGTTTAGCAATCTTTGCTAATTTGTTATTCATGGATAAAGGTTGGGGAGGTTGTGCATTCCAGAAAGGAAAGAGAAAAAAAATTAAAGTAAGGCCAAAATGTGTGTATGTGTATGTGTATGTGTGTGTGCATTTAGTTCTCCTTACTTTGTATTCAAATGTTGAGTACACCCCACATAAGCTTTGGATGCTGCCCTTTAGATACCTAAAATAGCATAGGCTGTCCTCTCTTTACACTAGAATAGTGGTTCTCAACCAGAAAACTTGGAAATATCTGGAAACATTTTTGGTTGTCACACCTGGCAGAGGCAAAGTGATATTGGCATCTAGTTGGGAATAGACCACAAATGTCAAGAAACTTCATGCAATGCACAGGTAAAACCCCCACTGCCAACAAAGAATTGCCTTGCATGAACTGTCAATAGGGCCAAGGGTTAAGAAATCCTTCCCTAGAATGTGTGCTTCTATCATCAGACATCTCACTCAAAAGGAATACTATCCTTCTAGAGACCTCCATTCTGAAGCTAACATATAAGTGTCTACACTCCCTAATTCTCACAAAGGTTGCTTGTAACCTAAATCAAGGCACAATGGTAATAGGGAATCCCAACATTTTCCCAATAGCTGATGTTAACACTTCTGCATTACATACTAACAATCAGAAGCATATTTCTTACACATGCTTAAATTGGCCAGTGAATAAGTATCCGAAAGCTATTTTGAGGGGCAGATTTCCAATTCTGCAGAAACCATAAAACTGGCCCCAACAGGAAGAGATTTGAGCCACCAGTGAATTGTGTTTTATAGGGCTGTATGCCAACTGCTTTTATTCACTTGTGTGCTCTCTGAATGTTAGAAGCCAGCTTCTGCACATTTGTGCAGCAGAAACATAATGGGTACCATTTGGTAAGACATTGATAATGTAGTAAGCCATCATTCAGCCCTTATTTTTAGCTGTCACATATCCTACTTTTGAGATATTAAGTGTTAGTTTTAGCTAAATAAATCCCCTCTTAGGTGAGAGGGATTTTTATTTTTCCCTCTGGCAAATCCCATAAAGAGGAAATGCTGAAGCACATGATTGATCTGGGAAGGAATATGTTAGTGCTAAGGCTTGGACCTAAGCCCTGGGTATATGGCCTGGAGGTAGAAAAGAAGGCCCTTGATTATGAATAGAAACTCCTGTAAGGCCCTAAGTAGACTGAAAAGGCATCAGGAAGACAGTTCTATAAGGCCACAGGAGCTACTTGCCTAAGCCTCGAAGACTATTTGCATGACCCACGATATAATTTGAGGGAATCTAAGAAAGTTCTCGTTTTAAAAAATGTCCCTGTCTTTTCTGCCTCAAATGCTACCATTAGATTCACTTGTAAAGTGAAGGTGACCAGAAATCTCTGATTCTTCTAGTTAAATACACACATGCATAGAAAGGGTCTCACTTTGAGGCTTACCAGACAGTGTTGTTTGTATAATGGAAGGAACGATAGAAATTAAGGTAGAAAATCTACCAAGGCAAAGTTTACAGTATTCGCTTGGGTCAGCCCTGAAGCTCAGCCTTAAAGGAAGAAGAAAAGGGTAGAGAGGGAGAGTCATTCTCTAATGGTCAAATCTATCTGGGAGAGGGCACCACAGCTGAGGAGAAAGTGTTAGAAATGGTAGGGATGTGAGTATGTGCTTGTGGGAGGCCAAGAGTGAAGGGCTGAGGGAGAGGGAAGAGGAGGCTGAGCACCACCTGAGATTGAGTGTGCTTAGGTGCAAAAATTAGGTTGCCTCCCTCCACAGACTGAGAGTTTCATCAAGAAAAGTTATTATACATATGGCTTAGGGGCTTCACTAATTATGACAAATCCTAAAAGAAGAAGTTTGTGAACTCTTATTAGCCTATGATTGGTTGGCAGGATTAAGATGGACAAGCAGGAGGTTTCATAGGGGAGGAACTTGATGCAACACTTAATGGCCTGTTTATCTCATATAAGCAACGAACACCAGAGGCATAAGTAGGATAAGCACAGATGGTGAGTCAATTCAGTGGTTAATAACCCACTGACTGTAAAATTGTGTAAAATTGTACACTCCCAGAGAAAAATACACATTGGTAAACTATATTGGGTGTGGTCTCCTCTAACTAGAATTATTACACTTAAAAGAAAAATAGGGCCGGGCATGGTGGCTCACACCTGTAATTCCAACACTTTGGGAGGCCAAGGTGGGTGGATCACGAAGTCAGGAATTCAAGACCAGCCTGGCCAAGATGGTGAAACCCCATCTCTACTAAAAATACAAAAATTAGCCAGGCGTGGTGGCAGGCGCCTGTAGTCCCAGCTACTTGGGAGGCTGAGGCATGGTGGCGGGCGCCTGTAATCCCAGCTACTTGGGAGGCTGAGGCAGAGAATTGCTTGAACCCAGGAGGCAGAGGTTTCAGTGAGCCAAGATTGCACCACTGCACTCCAACATGGATGACAGAGTGAGACTCCATCCCAAAAAAAAAAAAAGAAAAGAAAGAAACCATCAGTCTTAATAATCATAATAATAGCTGCTTAAATTGTATAAAGTACCCACATATAATTTATGAAGACATTAAAAAGACTTACTGATGTAGCAGATTTTTTGAAGTATAACCAATACATTTTTGCTCCCACTAACAGCTGCTTCCTAGTTTTCCCAGTTTCCTCACCCATTGAATCATGGAGTCGTTTCTTAGATTTGATTCTGAACATTGACTTCTTTGAATCTCCAGATTCAAAATAGTGTTTACAAATCCAGATTTTCTGAAAGAGAAACTTTGAACTGAATTCATAAATCTTTTTTTAACTAAAAATAATTCAAAGTCTGATCTCGTAATCTTACAAAAAAACAATGTCCCATATCTCAATTCTGCCATGGAAAAGCCAAACATATTATTCATATTGTTTGTGCCATTCTTCTTCCAGTAGTGTGATTCAGGCATCAGAGTTGCCACCTCTTAGATGAAGTTTCCACTGCTCAAGTACCTGTCTCTCTTACACTGAGAAGAACTACAGATTTCACTCTGAGGATATCATCCGCAGGAGGGCGGTTATTGGGGTGGGAAATTGTATGGTGATGTTTGTCTTTGATCTGTTCTCAGATCTTTTATAGAGCTTTCCTTCCTCCCCTCTTCCACCATGTATGTTCCTGGACTTCAGTCCAATGTCGGCTCCTCGCAGATTCCTTACTTCTAAGGCTGTTATATTAGAAATAGGGATGTTATCGGTGGAAGGTATCTGAGTTACTGGCAATGAATTCTGCAGCAACATCAATTCTTGCCTCCTCAGAAGAAAGAATTTGACGGAGGGGCATAAGGCAGAAAAAGAGACCAAGGCAAGCTTCACAGCAGGAAGTTTATTTAAAAGGTTTTAGAATAGAAAAGAAAGGAAGGTATACCTGGAAGAGACCCAAGCAGGCACGTGAAGGTCAAGTGCGATGTTTAACCTTGATCCCAGGACTTTATAGGCTGGCCCACTTCCTGTGACTTGCACCTCTTTCCCATAATTCATCCCTTAGGGTGGGCTGCCCGCATGCACAGTGCCCTCCTTATGCTTGAGAAGTGAGTACACACAAGGAAGTTGTACACATGCCCCTTGGAGGTTTCCTTCCCTTTTCCAGTGATACTTCACCATCTTGCCTCTTAATGCTCTTGCCCTTGCTTACTTGCCCAATACCTGAGATTTTATTGGAATCCCCTTTTTGCTTCTCCCTGGCACCTGCATTCAATTCACACTTTACTGTTAACAGGTGTGGACCATTAGGAGATTGTCTCTCCCCAGTGCCCTTTGCCAATTTATCACTTTTAGAGAGGAAATGTGATGATAATTGCCAAGCCATCACCCAACAATCCTAGTGGGTGGGGGAGAGCCCTCTCCTGCCCCATTCATGCCTGTTTAGCTACCTGTGACAGGAAATTTAGCCATCATTGGCTCATTTTCTTGAAAGACTCAGATAGGATAGTGAGGACTGGTTGCTATTGCTTACGTACTCCATGTCACTAAATGAATCAAAACATTCTCTGCCTTGGACATAATGACGAATGCAATGTTATCAGATTCATAGTACATTTTGGGGGCAAAATATACTCAGTTTTGGGAACAAACATTTGCTTCTTTTTTATATGACAAAAATTATGAGAATTTTCTCTGTTACACCATATTTCAGGTTTCAGCACATGCTGAGGTCCGAGGGGAGTGGGTGGGTGGGTGGCAGATAGCTGAAAGAACACTCAGGGTCCATAAGCAGGTGAAATATATGGCTTTATTATGTTTTCTGTCTCCGTCAGCCTTTGTCTCGGCTGCCTGCTCTGGCTGCTGCCACCTGCACGCTTACAGCTGCACTCCCTGGCCTGCAAGGAGGTGACTCTCCCTTACAGAGTCAGCAGCTTAACCCTTTCTCTCTGTGGGAGCAAGCTGTATGTACAGCATCAACAAGGCAGTTATACCTGTTACAGACAATAGTGACTCAGAAGCAAGTATGAGCTTACACAAACAGGTTATGTAACAACGGAGTTATGTGTCTGTGCTCCAAACTCACCGAGTTACGCTGGTCCAGATGCCTGCCTCAGCCTACTATCAACTGCAGCATATTCATTTTCCTTACATTCTCCAAAGAAAAAAACAAAAAAACAAACAAAAAAACTTGATAAATTAGGTGACATCTAACCTACTTTTTCTTTAAATCCCATCACTTTACGATATACTTTAATGATTACAAACATAAGTTAAAGAACTGCAATATGAATCCACACATAATGGACTAATCTTTGCTAAAAAATCATGGAATGAAGATAAAGGAGAAAGATTACATAAGAGAATGTAAAAGGACGATAGAATACTCTAGGAAGGGAATAAAATAAAGATGGCATTACTGGTCTGGATAATATGACGTAACATGTTTCACCCTGCTACATCCTGCTAAGTAAATGATCAACCCTGGCAATAATGCAGGAGGCAACCAAAGGCAAATTCTGAACAGTGGAAGGCAAGGCAAACTGATTCTAGACCCCAGGGCTGGAAGAATAACATGTTGGTAGTGGTTATCACAAACCCCCACCCAACAGATGAAGGTCATCCGGGTCTAGCATTTTCTGACTTCAGCCTAGCAATGGAAGGTGACATAGGTAGGCTCTCGGTTTTCCTGGAATAAATAGTTGTCTCACTGAAATACTAGGTAAGCTCAGCAGTACTAGCAGTGGGGCATTTGGAAGCCCCAATGACAATTGACAACCAGGAGAATAACACCTTTTCCCCTGAGACCCCCCCGCAACCCATCAAGAGACATCAGGAGGAAAAGCAACACTAGCAGGAGGGATCCTGCCACAACAAGCAGCCAGCCCAGAAAGCTCTCTTCCCACATTGATAGGCACCAAATGGCCCAACCCGGGGAAACTTTCTCTTTCCTCTTAGGCAAAACCAGCAGCAAGCAACCCTATAGATCCACAGGGGTAGGAGTATGTGTAAATTCCTACGACCAGGGCACAATCCCTTAGGGTCTGGGAAAGAAACTGAAGAGGAGTCATTTCTTAGGACTAGGCTCTTCTTTAAGGTCCTCAATTAAAGAAGCCACAGGAAAGACACCTGGACACCTCTGCAGGGACAGCCCTTCTCTGAACAACAAAGATCAGTTGCAGGACCAAGGTAGCATTTGATGCTGAGAAAATCCTTTCTTCAAATATTCCTTGTGTTTTCTGGCTCAAATTCTACCATCAGTTTAATTTGGATAGGTTTAGAAATCTCTGAGTGCTCTAATAAATAAAAATAACTACTTTGGAGCCTTATCAAACAGTGTTGTATGCATAATGGGAAGGGCTGTGGAAACTAAAGTGGAAAAAAATCACAAAGGTAAATTATATTTATGACACCATTTACTTTGTGGTTCTCATGGAGCTAAGCCCTGAAGGGAAGAAGGGAGAAAGAGTAAGAATATGTCTACTACCAAGAGCTTCCTGAGAGAGGGAACTCTGAGGAGAAGATGATAGAAAGTGTGTGAAAGTGAGGATGTGCTTCAGGAGAAGACATGAGTAGATGGGGTGCACTTAGTGCTCTGAAGGCTGCTTGAGACAGAGTGTGCTTACATGAAAGGACCTAAATGAAAGGGCTACATTTCTTCCAAATACAGGCTGAGGAATTATCTGTGGGAAATGCTCTGATAAGCAAGATTTAAGTGGGGATACGGAAAGCATGGAAAATGTTTATTTAAAGAAGTCAAAGTCCCTAGGCAGCACTGGGACAGACCAGAAATAGGAATCACAGTGAGGGGAGGTGTTACCAGAAAGGGGTCCTGATATGGTTAGGCTTTGGGTCCTCACCCAAATCTCATCTTGAATTGTAATCCTCATAATCCCCATGTATTGAGGGAGAGACCAGGTGGAGGTAATTGAATCATGGGGGTCGTTTCCCCTATGCTGTTCTCATGATAGTGAGTTCTCGCGAGATGTGATGGTATTTTAAGGGGCTCTTCCCCCTTCACTCAGCACTTCTCTTTCCTGCTACCTTGTGAAGAAGGTGCCTTCTGCCATCATTGTAAGTTCCCTGAGGCCTCACCAGCCATGCTGAACTGTGAGTCAATTAAAACTTTCTCCTTTATAAATTACCCAGTCTCAGGCAGTTCTTTATAGCAGCATGAAAACAGAATAATATGGGTCCTGATTCAGGCCCCAAGATTGGGTTTTTAGATCTCACACAAGAATGAATTCGGGATGAGTCTATAGAGTAAATAAAAGCAAGTTTAATAGAGAAGCAAAGAACCAAAAGAGTGGCTACTCCATAAGCAGAGTGGCCCAGAGGGCTGCTGGTTGGCTATTTTATGGTTGTTTCTTGATTCTATGCTAAACAAGGAGTGGATTATTCATGAGTTTTCCAGGAAAGGGGTGGGCAATTCCCGGAACTGAGGGTTCCTCCTCCTTTCAGACCATATAGGGTAACTTTCTGATGTTGCCATGGTATTTGTAAACTGTCATGGCACAAGTGGGAGTGTCTTTTAGCATGCTAATGCCTTATAATTAGCATAAAATGAGCAATGAGGACCAATGGAGGTCACTCTCACCACCATCTTGGTTTTAGTGGGTTTGGGCTGGCTTCTTTACTACATCCTTTTATCAGCAAGGTCTTTGTACCCTGTACCTTGTGCCAACCTCCTATCTCATCCTGTGACTAATAATGCTTAACATCCTGGGAACACAGCATAATAGGTCTCAGCCTCATTTTACCCAGTCCCTATTCAAGTTGGAGTTGCTCTGGTTCGAACGCCTCTGGCAGAGGGACTTAAAGAAGCTAAGTTTATGCTCACCTGAAGAAGACAGAGCAAAGGTTTAAAGTAAGTAATAAAAACTGAGAGGCATGAGAAAATGCAACACTACAGTGGAAAATGATCAAATACATTGTTTAACAAATCATACAGACAATGTTTGTGCCTGATAATCTGTCAATCCAAGTGTGGGGAACAGGGAGCCTGGGGAAAAAGTAGTCAACTCTCAGCTTTGGGTTTCAAAACTGGCATCTTTGAATCCACAGTGAGGCAATATTCTTGACAGCAAGAATTTCCTGGAAAAGATAAGGGATGTTCTACATTCTAAAGCCTTGGCTTTACATAATAAGGACAAAGAGTATAGAGATTTACTTTAAACCATCAGGCAGATAAGATGAAGGTTACACTCTTGGGGAAGTCCTTTACCTTATTTAAAGAAGTCCTTTACCTTATTATTATTATTTTTTATTTATAAAAGCCCTTTTCTGCTAGAATATGCTTGGAGAGATTCAGAGGGCATAGAACTACATAGAGAAACTTCAAGAAGGGACCTCAAGTCATCTTCAAGGGGTCTTCACATACACGCATACTCCTGCCCTATTCTGAGCCGTGGCTCTTCAGAGCCAGGGAAGGATGATAGACATTTTGATAAAAATCCTAAATAAGCTCAGAGTGAATTGAATAACGTCCAGACTAGTGTTCTGCTCCCAAAATTGCCTGGGAATTGTAGAATAGTTAGGGAGAGGTAATAGATAATAATAGATAATCCTGAGATGGTTGGGGAGGGTCTGCAAATAGAGTATAGAAAATCCAAAAATATCAGTGATGGCAAATGGAAACGCTAGAAGGACAAGCAAACAAAAAGTTCCTGGAGTCTAGACCAGGAGGACACAGAATATGAGAAGTTCATAAATAAGATTCTGGATCAGGGATCCCCTCCCTCTGACACCAGGAAATTCTCCCTGTACGCAAACCATTTTTAGAAGACAAAAGGGAGCAGAGAACTCCTTGAGATAGAAGAGCCATGATTGGAAATTAGAACTTCAAAAGTGACTGATTATTTATCTAAAAGTTATTGTTTTTATTAGAAGTAGCTAAGTTTTTTTTTAATTGGCAAGACTATCAAAAATAAAGTAAAACGTGTCATTTGTGTAACAATGTATCATTCTTAAGCCCAATATACTGAAAAATGACTAAGATTCCTCTAAAGAGAATTATGTCCGTGTAAGACTAGAATTAAGTAAAGCATACCCATACCTGTGCAGGTTGGTGACACTCTTTGTGATCTCTGTTCATGTCTGAATTGTATTTGATGAGCTCACTCTTCAAAGTTCTTCATCTCCTCAGCCTATGCATTCTCTTTCACTTCTCACACAAAAGGAGTTCCCTATAACCAGTTAATGAAGAAGGAAAAAAATCTGTGTGTTATGCTGGCACTGCAGGAAAGCTACTGTACTATAGTCTCACTCAGGGCTGGCCCTGACTGACAGCAGTGAAGGAAAATCCTCCCAGAGAGCAGAAGTTTGGCTGGAACATTGGGCTGCCCACCACATTTGGAAGAAAAAGCAGCCGGAATTATGACCATACACACATTTGTAAACACCCCACAGCCTAATGAATTGGCCAATGACAGAAAAATGGTGACGAGGGAGACTACAGGAAAGGGAGGGAGATTTTAATAATCAGAATAAGGAGAGACATCCTGTAAACCCCCCAGTTTCCTCTCTCCCCACCAACTCCAGTGCTTGCTCAGTGGGAGCATGCACAAAGTGGTGATGGAAGCAGAAATGAAGAGCACCCTAACAGCATGGAATTCCCCTTACCAACGCTGGTCTGTTTAACACCGTTGCTGAGTATTCAACTTCCCAATGTCAGAAGTTAGTGCTAGGCCTCCAGTACAACACCAGTCCCCATAAGGTACCAGCTGACCACCTAGTAGCAGGTTGTTTATATCGGACACCTTTCATGATGGAGGATGCAACGCTTTACTTAAGTCCACAAATGATAATGCCTTATCATCACCATAGTATCCTATACATCACTTCTGTCTAGAGATCACATTTTATGTGTGGGAATTAAGGTGATGGGCTCATGCCCATAGAATTCACTAACTGTACCATGTATCCCATAACACAGAAGTACCTGGTTTGATGAATTAATGATATATTCTGCTGAAGTCTCAATTCTGTTGCCATCCTTCAAAATTGGGAGGCATTCCTGCAGAATGAGGTAAATGCCTTAAGCCAGCCCCATAGCCAGAATGCACATGTCTGGGAACTACAGAGTAGAGGTAGGAGCGTTTCCTACCTCTACTATTACATCAACACATTGGAGGATGTTTTTGTCTCACCTACAACCCTGAGCTCCAAAGAGTCCTAGTATCCAAAAGAAAAATGCTTTTGATAAGGAATAGAAGACATGGTTTCTGTGAATTGGAAGCTAAGACTGCTGCTTGATCAACTGGAAGATAAGACCGCTTCCAAGAACTATTGATTCTCATGCCACTGAGCCAATAAGCAAATAAGAGGGTTTCTGTATTACCTAGTGTATTGTATTGACTCCAATTATAAAGAAAAATTTGGTTGCTGCTGCAAAATAAGGCCAAAGAGGACCACCAGGGAGTCATTGGTGCACTTCTTAGTACTTTTGCCCAGTAGTCCTGAAAACCTTGGCAACTAAAGAAAGAGACACTAAAAAGTCAGATCCTACAGAAATGAAGAAGCAAAACAATTTTCCCCAGCAGGTAAAGAACTCTCTTCAGCTGAAGTCTGGCAGAGAGGGTAGGGAACACAAAATGTGTGGTGGAAAAGACGCTACAACTGTCAACCAAGGCCTCATGATGAGCTGCAGAAGCAGAGACATTAGAAGCTGTGTTTTATATTAATCAATGGTTTTTCTTCCTGATTTCTCCCCATTAACTTCTATGGGAAACACTGAGCGATGGGTAATGCTTTAGGGTTTAGTTTTCAGTGGAGAGGAGTATTTCAACCCAGGCTCCTTCCAGTCTCTGCTGGTCACTGTGTTCTTCTACCAAGGCCAGAGCTCCTGCCAAGTCTACATTTCTCCTGCCATGAGTCTGTCTCCTGGTTCCAGGATCTACTCCTCCCCGCTGACCCTTTATTAGGTTTTCCAGCCACTCAGCCGGCTAGTGTGTCCCATCTCTCTCCTGCTAAGGTCCTGACACACATAGATGCCATTAACAAGTCCCCCGACATGCAACAGGCTCCTTCCTTTGTATTTCAGGGGGGTAGAAAGGGTTCTTTTAAACCATTTATTACCTGGTATTATATAGGTTACTTTAGAAACTTTATAGAACTTATATATTCTAGACAATCATATATTTTAGACCTGCCTGCTCCCTCTGTTTACAAAAGCTCTTATTAATGTCTTCATTTCTATCACATTGCTACAAACAAAATTTGGTCCTTAGTGCTTCAAAAAGAATTACACTTAATGAGCAGCCACTGTATGCCCAGCACTATGCCAGGAGTTTTGCACACAGTTTATCATTTAAGTGTCACAGGAAAGGCAAATCCCCTCTTCTTGTTGCACAGGTCAAATATTTTGGAGACACCCTTGACCCCTCTTGTCTTCCTTATACCTGGCACATAGCGGACACTCGATGAATGCTTTGAATGAACCAATAAACAATGCTGTGGTGTAGATGTTACTTACATGTTGCAGAAGCAGCTGAGGGCCATTGAGAAATTTGCCTGAGGTGACACAGCTGGGAAGAGCCTGAGCTGAGAGACCCTAGCCTTGCTTTTTGTGTTTCTAATGTCACGTTTTCCCTTGGCCAGGATGCTCTCCAGTGTGGAGCTCCATTTTAGGCTCTTGACTGCTCTTTCTGACCCTGCCTTGGGTGTTGCAACCCACTGTGCCCATTGGTGTTAAGGTTCTCTTTCCTGAAATCTTGTCTTGACAAATTGTTCTCCTACTCAAAAACTTTCATGCCCCCCGCCCCTTAGTCTGCCTGCCAGACTAAGCTTACCACCTTCAGCTTTGCACTGGTGCCCTCCACAATCAATTTCAATTGACCCTTCCAACCGTATTTCCTAACCTTTCTCTAGAGAATCTCCATTCCATTGAAATGTGCCTTTTCCCTGGAGCTCTAATCCACTATGCAGTTCTTTTTTCCCTATGTATTTGTTCAACCCATTTCCTCTACCCAAAATGCCCTCCTGGCACCACTATCCATCCCCAATCCCTTATCCCTGCCTATAGAAAGCCACCTGTTCTTGAAGGCCAGGAGCAGACATCCCATCCCCCTCTGAAGCTCTCTCTGAATAATCTCAGTGCCAGATCCTCCAGAGTGCTTAGGACAGAAAGTTTTACATAGTAGAGGGTTCAATATTTTCTTATAAACTACATCATGCTCTGAAACTTAAATGAAGTACAACTGAGATCTGGGAGCTAATTACACAATCTTAGTATTGTGTATTTATTTCAGAGGTAAGACATACATGCTGTGTGGAGAGCATTGTCTTTGCAATTAGACAGATGGACCTTCAAATCTCATCTCTATTCATGATCTTTCATAAAGTTGGTTGATTTACTTAACCTTTAGAAATTTCAGTTGACTTTTCTGTAAAATGGGGATAATATTACCTTCTTGATAGAATTTTTATAATGATTAGATGGGGTTTTTACACTAAATGCCTGACACCATGATTGACACATAGAAAATACTCAGTAAGTGGATTACACTGGAGCCATCAGAAGCAGGTGAGCTATTATCATGGAATCAGAAAATCCTATACCCACAAGCACCCCAACAGTCATCCAGTCTCAGCCTGCCCTGCCGCTCTTCACCAGCCACCAACAGCAGGCTGATAAACACCAAAGATGTCACCATGATGGTTACAAGTGCCTTCTAAATGAATTTGTGGTTTGGATCACAACAAGTACCATGTAATTCTGACTGAAAGAGATACAGACTGCTAGAGTGTAAAGTGGATTGTCCCTAATTAGAATGAGCATGATCAGTTACCCAATCCTAAAAACTGACAGAACTTTTCAGGGCACAGCAATATCTAGTGGACCATCTACTAAAGGACTTCTTTATGACATGCACCACTGTTAATCATATTCATAAGCCCTTCCATCTCAGACGAGGGGTGATTGAAATGAGTGCTGGATGTCTGAGTAGAGCTGGGAAGATAACATCTTTCAGACACAGCAAAGGAAAGCCCCTTCAGATGAGTGAGCTTGAAAAGTCACCTGGGCTCAGATATATTTAAACTATGTTCTTGAGCTTGTAAATGTCTATGTTTACTGGGTATTGATTTAATGTCTTAAATATCCCAACTTATCAGGAATTGGACTGGATAGGTTGCTATGAGACTTGAAAAACTGGGGCAAAATGTAAGAAACTACCTATTATCTGATTGGCTGAATGCTCATCTTTAAGGGTATGATAGCATTAATATAATGTTCTTTTTATGTATGGGAGCAATGAATTCCATGGAGCATAAAAATAGTACCAACCCAGTCAATAAGGGACTAACAGTATTGAGGTCTGTTTCTCAACTGTGAACTTGTTCCATGACAGGTGAATTTTTGACTGAATTCCAGCCCAATAGCCTCAGAAGAATGGTTGGATGAGAGGTAATTGATGAGCATCAACTTCTGCAATGCTCCCAAGTACAAGGGCAGCTGAAATCACCACCTGGTTATGAATCACAGCCATGTCTAGCCCTTCAAATAAAAATGGGCTCTGGTATGAAAATTTGTCAGTTTGAGATATATCTCATACCTAAAAATGTCTCTAACCAACAGGAACATTACCACCATGAAAGTGGATATTAAACCTCTTTCCCCTGAGGCACTCTGAGTTCAGTGAGAAGACCATGGTTTCAATCAGAGCAATCTTAGGGATCATAAGACAAAATTGGAACCATCTGGGAATAACAAAAAATGTCAAAGAACAAAAATTACCAGGCTTAGGTGAAATCTTTGTAAAGTGCTGTGTGGCACACTGGCTTGGATATATGGCTTTTGCTTTGTGTTTTGTTGTAAGTACTTATCTTTGTTATGCATATTATGAATGCATATTATTTAATTGTGATGTCACAAGGTCATTGGCCTCAGGCTTTTGAAATAATTCTATTGCTATATCGTAGCTGAGGTTTTCCCGCAGAATGATCAGGGGATCATTTCTCATTGGCTAATCTAAAAATATGAAAAAAAAAAAAAAAAGCCAGAAATAATTGGGAGATTACAAACAACCTTGAAAAGAAAGATATGGGAGATGACCAAAATGAACTATAACATATATAGCATACATTATGGTCCTAGGTACAGAAAATGCTCTGTACTTCATAGTTAGATGTGCCAAGCTCTTTTTTTTTTTTTTTTTTTTTGAGACAGAGTTTCGCTTCTGTCGACCAGGCTGGTGCAACCTCCGCCTCCTGAGTTCAAGCGATTCTCCTGGTTCAGTCTCCCGAGTAGCTGAGATTACAGGTGTGCACCACCATGCATAGCTAATTTTTGTATTTTTAGTAAAGACGAGGTTTCATCATGTTGGCCAGGCTGGTCTTGAACTCTTGACCTCAGGCGATCCACCCACCTCGGCCTCCCAAAGTTCTGGGATTACAGGCGTGAGCCACCGTGCCCGGCCATAGCTCTTTGGTATGTAAGTTAGAACAGGCTAAGCAGTAGCAACCCCCTAATGATTTAGGCCACACATGGATGTGATAAGTCAGGAAAAAGGAGCAAGCCAAGATAGAGGACAGTGAGCTGCCCATGGCATACAAGCAACTCACATAACATCTGGGTAATGACTATAGAAGATGACTTTACTCCACCTGGAGCATCTGATTATACCTGGGCTCTTTGCAGTACATGTTAATGACCCAGACCACAAACAGAGTATCGTGGCCAAGCTGTTCTTGCACTGAATTATAAAAGAGACTTGAGGGTTTGTGCAAGCTGTTTGGCAAGACAAGGTTGGCTTGGAGTAAGAACTTCTGGAAATATCAGAAATGAACTCAGAAGAGAAGAAGACTAGGCTGCCTGAAGAGGTAAGTTCCACCCTGACAGAATGAGGCTCCTCCAAGAGGCCACTTCATAATGCTCCCTGCATTCTTTGTGGTACTCGCCTCCTGGAATACTCTTTGCAGGTACTATTGCACTGGTCAGGGAGTAAAGAGGCAAAGAGTCCTCATTTCTTGGACTGAAATGTTTCAGCTCAGCCCCTGCCTCTCTTTACTGAGATCTGATCAGTGACTGTACAATGTTCCTCCTACCATCTTTTCTTCTCCAAGCTGTCTACTGAAACCTCAGCCTCCTATAACCCGGCTAAAAGGCTTTTCAGCCCTTACTTTTCCAGAAGCATCCATCTTCCCAATTTTCTTAGTCTTTTCCTGTTCTGTCTCAGAACATAAAAAGTAAAGCTGTTTCTACTGTTATTCATTTTCACCCCCTTGAGCTGGTGGTTCCAGGGGAGGCCCAGCACATCTCAGGATCAGCTGTGGATGAGAAGATAGAGGCAACAAAGGATTCCCATAGTAAGAGACCTGGCATTTCCCCACCCATGCTCAGCTCCCTGGACTTCTGCCTCTATCCAATCCATCCCCAGATCCTTCCCCAAATCCATCCCAGTCCATCCTAAATCCCAGAAGCTAACAATTATGGCAGAGTTTGTTTTTCCTCTTCATGGAATTCCTGGCCCAGAAGTTGCTGGAATAATCTCAGCTTGGAAACAGTGACTTCTTGCAGGTACTTGAGTAGGTGAAGATTACAAGTGGCCGATGAAGGCCTCTGATCTATCCCTCATTCTCTCCCACAGGGGGTGTGTGACTCTATTTTTTATTTGTTTATTTTTTGAGACTGAGTCTTGCTCTGTCACTCAGACTGGAGTGCAGTGGCACAATCTCGTCTCACTGCAACCTCTGCCCCCTGGGTTTAAGCAATTCTCCTGCCTCAGCCTCCTGAGTAGCTGGGACTACAGGCATATGCCACCACACCTGGCTAACTTTTGTATTTTTAGTAGAGATGGGATTTCATCATATTGGTCAGGCTGGTCTCAAACTCCTGACCTCAGGTGATCCGCCCATCCTGGCATCCCAAAGTAGCTGGGATTATAGGCCTAAGCCACCGCACCTGGCCTGGGTGTGTGACTCTAAGCGACGTGTTTTCTATCTTAGCATCGGAAGTCGTAGCAGATTATTCCTCACTAAGTGAGGAATACATCGCCTGAACACTCCCCTCTCCCTCCAGCTCAGGCTACTTTCCTATTCCCATGCTCCTGCTTCTACCCACCATCTCATTGTGCCAGGCCAGTGGGTCTGAGTCACTGTCCCCAACTCTTCTTCTCTCATCCCTATTTCCCCTGGAGGGTGAAGCTGAGAGATCCCTGGTTTCTGTTCCTTCCCTCTCCTTCTATTAGTATCTCTTTTGTTCTTTCTTAAAGACATTTAAGTAAGTGTAATTCCACTTACTGAGTATTTTCTATGTGTCAATCCTGGTGTCAGGCATTTAGTGATTAGTATCTCTCCTATTAGAATCTCTTTTGTTCTTTCTTAAAGACATTTTGTCATTTGTCTTCCTTCAAGTTCATCTCTTCTGTCCTCTGACTTCTCACCCCCTTCTTAAATAGCACTACTAATTCCAAATCCAAGGGCTCCAACGTCTCTGCTCCATGCCCCATGCAGGGTACCCTGTCACTGGTCATGCTTGCGGCTATGGCTGTGGCTCCTGGGATGTCCTATGGGAATCCATCTGTCACTGCCAGTGTGTTGTTTTGGATGGGGTCACTGCCTGCTCTGAGATATGAGAGCTAAGACCATGTTATTGTGATGCCTAAAGAAACTTCAACCCCAATCAGAAAACCCTCACTAAGTAACATGAGTTATGGCTTCTCAACTCCTATCCCCTCTGCCTGTGACATCTATGCCCAGGTAATAAAGATGGTCTTTGAATTTCTCTTCGTTTGAGTCTATCATTTTCCTAAGGAATAGTGGATGAGAATTAAAATAGCACCTTCTGTTTATTCTCCTCATTTTTCCCCTACCCCCTCATTTCAAGCTGGTGGCCAAGTTTTGCCAACTCTTGCTTCAAGGACTTTGGCTGGACCAAAGTAGTGCCAAGCACATGACTCTTCCAATGTGAGCCCACTGAAGTAGCAAGGTTTCACTGAGTGGGCAGTGATTGAAAGACATTTTGTGTTAGTAAAAACAGGTGGAGAGAGTTCCCTGGGCTGGCAGTTGGAGAGAAGCCTGAAGGCACTCCTAGTAGCAGGTGCAGGACAGTTCTCCAGGTGGCCTTGGACCAACCCAGGTCTCCCTCCTTTCTCACTTGTAGATCTCAAGAATAATCGTAGAACGTGCTGAGAATTCAACATTCTGAGGTAAGGTGGAACTGGACAGATCAGCTCAAGCTCTGTTCCAGTCTCTCCTAGAAAGAGGTTGTTCTTCAACACTTTACCCCATTGAGTCATGCCATTCCCAGGGTATAAATTGCAGGATGGTCTGCTTCCGGGGTTCTTTAGCTGCAGTGCATGTGGGGCATGCACAGACAAGATTCCATGCACCCTGGCAAGTTTTCCTGAACCTTGGGGGACCATCTTACCCTAAATCCTAGGCTTCTACTCTCCTTGATGCCTATCGGTGAGTAATAAAGTTGTTTCACTTTACTTGTTATGTGAGTGTTCTGTCTCACTGGACTTATCAAGTAAATGGAAATTGCAGCCCAAGATGCAGCGGGCTTATATTCATTTGTTCTCATATTGCTATCAAGAACTGCCTGAGACTGGGTAATTTATGAAGAAAAGAGGTTTAATTGATTCACAGTCCCACAGGCTGTACAGGAAGCATGGCTGAGAAGGCCTCAGGAAACATATAATCATGGCGGGAACTGAAAGGGAAAGAGGCACATCTTTACACGGCAGATCAGGAGAGAGAGAGAGAGAAGGGGGAAGTGCCACACACTTTTAAACAACCAGATCTCTTGAGAACTCACTAACCATCAGGAGAACAGCAAGGGGGAAGTCCGCCCCCATGATTCAATCACCTCCTACCAGGCCCCTCCTCCAACACTGGAGAAGACAATTCCACAAGAGATTTGGGTGGAGACACAGAACAAAACCATATTAGAGCTGAAGTGATAACAAGGGCACAGTGAAACTGCTTCACAGCAAGAGTGTCCTCACTTTCCTTCCTTACTTTACTTAGATGAAGTAAAAACACCTTAGAGGATAAGTACCGCATGTTTACCAGGGAGACTAGATTCTAGCATCCAGATAATTCTGTAACCTCAACTAGTGTCTCCAAAGGTGCCATGAAGTTGGGACAACAGGAGTCTCTTGTAAATGATTGATGATAAATAAGGATTTTTTTTTCGTTCCTTAGCTTTATATAAGACATTTAATCCACCCTGAAGTGGATAGCCCCAAAACCAGTGAGTTAAATTTCCTAAAAGCCTAGAAGAATGAGGACATATAGGATGTCCCCAGCCATATCTAAACCCCAACTGTTCTCATCTCATCTCAAGGGGACTTGTGCTGTGAGAACCAAGATGAATACCTAGTAATCCCAGTCCCCTCACTATTCACAAAACTTTAATTGAACATTGTTCTGAGTACTACTTAGGTTTCAGAGGCATGAAGTGGAATATAAACCATCCTTTGCCTATGAGGCTTGTGAGCCTATCAGGGCCCATGGGTGGTTTTAGCACAAGTCACACCCTCATATTTTTGTTTGTTTCTGGCCACATCTGCTGCTTCACCATCACCTAGGGCATGTAGGATAGTTCTCCTCTTCAGACAGAGACCTTGGGGCCACAGGCTGGCTCATACCCTTCACGGCAAGTCATTAACCGTCACCAGCTCACATAGACACTTGGAAAGCCCATCTTTCTCATATGGTGAGGATTTGGGAGTGCAAACAACACACAGCTAAGCAAGCCGTATGGACATAGCTGTCTCAGCCTTAGAGATCTTAGAGATCTTAGGATAAGAAAGTGACATCCCAGCCCACGCCTAGAAGGAACAGAAACAATGAGAGGACACCCACAAGATGATTGGTAGAATTTTTATATCTTAGACAAAGAAAAGGTTGACCCAAAACACAGATTACTTTCTCAAGTTTACTTTTTTCTTTGTGGGCAATAACTGGAGTTCAAACCAGGAAGGCCTCATGAACTGTTGCAAATGTGGTTGGTTAAAAATATTTTTAGCAAATGTTTCTTAAGCACCTATGGTGCACTAGACATTTTGGTAGGTGCTAGACATTTGGCAGATCTCAGTGATGAGGATATTGCACCCGCACTCAGCTGTTCATAGAATAGTCAGACTGATATAATTTCAAAACAGTGCAGTAAATGCTAGGTTGAAGGGGTGTCCCAGGTTCAATGACACAAGTGAGCAATATCTAACTCAGGTTGAAGGTCAGGGAGGGTACCTAGAGGAGGTGACACCAGAACTTGTCTTAAAAAGATGAAGCAGCATTAGCCATAGGAGGATGAGGAAATGAGGGTACCAGACAGGAAGCTCAGGCAGCCCAGTGATTGTGGGTGGAGGGGGTGATATGATTTGGCTCTGTGTCCCCACCCAAATCTCATCTTGTAATCTCCCCATGTTGAGGGAGGGACCTGTAATTTCATCTGTCGAGAGAGGGAGGTGATTGGATCATGGGGGCAGTTTCCCCCAAGCTGTTCTCATGATAGTGAGTGAGTTCTCACGAGATCTGATGGTTTTATAAGGGTTTGGAAGTTTCTCCATCACTTCTCTCTCCTGCTGCCTTGTGAAGAAGGGGCCTGCTTCCCCTTCTGCCATGATTTTACATTTCCTGAGGCCTCCCCAGCCATATGGAACTGTGAGTCAATTAAACTTCTTTTCTTTATACATTACCCAGTCTCAGGTATTTCTCTATAGCAGTGTGAGAATGGACTAATACAAGGAGATTAGGAGAATGGCCACCAGCAGTTTTGTATTATTGGAACTTAGAGTGAGAAAGTGGTAAGACAGATTATGCTAGATAGACCAGTAATTGGGTGATGGTAGGGATGGTACTAGATTTTATAAATCAGGCTTTGAATAAAAAGCTTTAAATATATCTGGGTGGTAGGCAGCCTCCAAGACAGTCTCCAATTATTCCCACATCTCAATATTCATGCCCTGGCGTAATATTACCCCCCACATGCCTGGCTTTTGTGAAAAATTGACTTATTATCATTTTTAAATTCTTTTAAGAGACAGGTTCTCACTCTGTCACCCAGGCTGGAGTGTAGTGGCCTCCTGGACTCAAGTGATTCCCCTTCACCTTCTGCCATGATTATAAGTGTCCTGAGGCCTCCCCGGTCATACAGAACTGTGAGTCAGTTAAACCTCTCTTGTTTATATATGTTTTGTTTATGTATGTTTTAAGAAAGCAATTCAGATTTGTCCTTTGGACAGATCTCATGGGCAGTTGAAAGAAGATATACGTGGAGATGCAAGACACAAGAGGTGGAGCAGTAAGTTACTACCACATTCCAGGGTAGAAGCTGAAATGTATCCCACTTTGGAAGGAAACTCAGCAGTGTTTAGCATCAGATACCAAATGCTCCTGTGAAATGGATTCCTTGCCTACGGCAGCTTCAGAGCATCTCTGTTTAACCCTTTCAGACCTACTACTACATAGGCTCCACTAGCCACTTTATAAAACGTGTCTGTGTGTACTATGCATTTTAAAAATCTCCACTACTTACTTGTTTACCATATCATTCCTTCTTTTTCATTCCCATCACCTCAACCACAACTTAGGTTTTTTGTTTTTTTTTTACGGACTGTTGCTCTATCACCCAGGCTAGGGTAGAGTGGCACAATCTCAGCTCACTGCAACCTCCACCTCCTGGGTTCAAGTGATTCTCCTGCCTCAGCCTCCCAAGTAGCTGGGATTACAAGTGCCCGCCACCATGCCCGGCTAATTTTTGTATTTTTAGTAGAGATGGGGTTTCACCATCTTGGCCAGGCTGATCTCGAACTCCTGACCTCGTGATCTGCCCGCCTCTGCCTCCCAAAGTGCTGGGATTAGAGGCGTGAGCCACCGCTCCCAGTCTACAGCTTACGTTTTTATCACTGCAAGAGAGCTAACATTTATTGAGCCTCTACTATGCCCTAAGCACCATGGTCCTGGAATTAGTCAGGCTACACTAACTGTTGAGTTATCTGAGGCAAGTTATTTAACACCTTAAACTTCAGTTTCCTTGTATTTGAAAATGGATATATAATACACTAATCAACGGTGTTATTGTAAGATTTAAATGATGTATACATGTGAAGACAACAAAATGCTACCTTTCTTATTATTATTCTGAAGTTATGTTTCTTATGTCAGCTTTGTGAGGACATTTCCCATTTTTCAAATCAGATTAACATAATTTATAAAAGTTAAATAACATTCCCAAGGTCACTAAAAGTTCTGTTTGCAATTATTTGAATTTAGGGATTAGGATGAAAAAGGTGAAGCAATTTTTAGCCTGTGTAGGAAAATTTTCTATTTCAAGGTTTTTTTGTTTTTTTATTGTTGTTGTTTGTTTGTTTGAAAACAGAAGCCATGACCCTACTAACATTTGGGGACCTGCACTGGTAAGCTACAATCCAAAAGAAGGTGGTCATTGCCAGCGTGCCTACCTGATGGCACAAAGGCTGTCTCATGGCCAGTCCCCTCCAGTGAAGCCACTAGTGGGGAGCTGCTGTGCCCACACACACTCAGCATCTACAGAACTGTCCGGCTGCCCACTCTTCAACAAAAACAGACAGCAAAGAATCTACACATAGGAAAAAGGGAGAACCAGCTAAATAAATGATCAAAAAGAGCCCTGATAAAACAGATGATTCAAGGGGTTTTATTCTAAAATAATAAAGTGTGTATAACAAGTAAATATTTATATTAAAGAAATCAACAGTAACCAAAAAGCAACAAAACATATAATGTATTCACATGTGAGTGTATGCACATAAATGCATAGAAAAACATGACGGGAGGAGCTCAGATTTGCGGTGTAATCAAGTGGGATTTCCTCTCTCTGTAAGAGCTCAACTCTTTTATAAATGGTAGCGGTTAAATCACGGCCTCTGGAAACAGGAGAGCTGACTTCCAATTCTGCTTTTGCCGCTTACTTTTTGTGTAAACTTGAAATTGTTGCATAATCTCTCTACTATGCCTCAGTTTCCTGATCTATAAAATAGGAGTGCATACCTCATAGGGCTGTTGAAAGAATTAAATGAATTAATGGATTAATATATGTAAAACATCACATAAATATTAGCTTTAACTGCTTATGTAATTTAAACACGTTTTACGTACCATTTTCCGAAGTACCAGTGCAAGACCTAGTACCTAGTAAGTGCTCTATAGCATTATTTATCTCACTGGAGGTGACATTTCAAAAACACTGCTCTGTCATTGACATTAATCTTCTCATTCTTGTCTACACCAAATCATTGCTTTTTCTACTGCAAACAGTGATGAATCTGGCAGAATAAGGTCTTCAGCAGAAGAGAGACCAAGTAAGATGAGGAGCTGTGCCAGGGATCTGTCCATTTGTAATCCCAGAAAAGATAAAGAAGACATTTCTAAAGCATTAACTTATGGGCTTAGAATTCTAAATTACATCACCTATAAATCTCAGCTCCCTTTCAGTGAGCCTTACACCTGAGCGTGAACACTGAAGAAAAATGGTGTTATTTATCTGCTAAAGCCCCACGGATGGCAAAGATCCCAGAATTAACATTTATAATAAAGACTGCTGAAGAAGCACTGCCCACTCTAAATCAATTCTAGGTATTTTATCTGGTAACCATCTCTGTAGTATAATTCAGACAGGAAATGAGAGGGCCATCCACAGGAAATTCTCTGGTCATAGTTGATTTTACTGGCTCTGGGTGGTTTAATGAAAATGGTATTTTTTCTTTCCTCCTCCCCATCAGGAAAAGCAACTGTGATTAGCACAATTTTTTTTAACTCCTCATTGGTGTTTTTTAGCTTTGTCTTTCCTCCTACAAGAATTAAGCATTCCATGGTTGTTTAAATGCAGGTTCTATAATGTTACATGGAAATTGGAATTAAATGTTAGTGTTGGTTATAATTGAAATTTTTTTTTCATTTTAAACTGTCAAGTTAGTGACTGTAAAGGAAAGAGGTGTTTTCGTATTGTTGTTTTTAATCACTTGTTCATCTAAAGAGAAATACTACAGATTCTAATAACGTTAAAAGTAAAAAACAAAAAAAAAATCACCAAATGTAGCTCAGACCAAATTGAATGCATGTCAAATCACCATGTGACTATTAAAGAAATGCCTCAGCAGAGAGAAAAAGTCATTTCCTTTAAAATGCAAGATAAAATAAGAGCACATAACAACTTCCCAATGTTTTGATTTAAAAGAGTGCTACACAGCCAATGAGGGTACAAAAATTCTGAAGCAAGAGAACTGGAAATGTGCCTGACTTTTAATATTTTAAAAAGCAACCGTCTAGGAGATTTTTGAGGAGTTTCACTCTGGAAAGGATAAGAACTGTATCAGAGCAACTGACATAGACCTGGCCTCCCCCGAGCAAATATTTATTGAAGATTGGCTAGCCCTGGCAGCTTGAAGGTACTATGGATGGAAAGATCAACAGAGTAAAATTTTCTTTTCTGGAAATGCTAAAAGTCTACTTGGAGAGCTATAATCAACCTAGGGCAGTAAGTGAAAATAATCAAGACCAAGTTCAGATATAAAGCAATCACTGAGGTTTAAATTTGAGGAAACACAGATTACAGGCAATAGCAATGGAATGACAAAAACAGAGAAGATTTGAGTTCTAGTCTTGCCTCTCCCACTAATTAGTTTTTGGCTTTGGACAAGTTACTGAAACTCCCTGGGCTCAGTTCTCTGTTGTGGAGGGGTGCAGACTGGGAAAGGAGCATAAGCAAAACCTAGGGAAGCAAAGTAGCTCTGTGATGTACCAGGCAAGCCCCCTCCTCTTTTGATAAGTTGGAAGAGTTTCATAGATGACTCTGTATGCCTTAAGAGCCCGAGGAAAGTAGGACTTTCTGGAGAAGACGAACAAAGTGAAATCTCTCCTTTCTAAGATGTCACTGTCTTGTAGAGAAGAAGCACTTTCAACACTTAAGTACACAGAAGGTGAATGATAATGTTGAATTGCACGTTCTCTTGTGATTCGTGCTAGTTCAGTCACCATGATTTCTGTTATCTTTGAAGCCCATACAAGGATGCTATAGCTGTGAATATAAAATGAAAAAAAAATCACTCTCTTGATATTAGGCATTCAGCCTCACTGGTAATTAAGTGCAAATTAAAATGAGATAACATTTTTCATTTATCAGATTGGCAAGGATTTAAAGAATAGTATTATCTAGACTTATTGTGGATGTGTAAGGAAATGGGCACTCACCTACTGCTATTAAGAGGGGAACTGATTCTGCTTTTTCCAAAAAGACAATCTGACAACACAATCTTTTACATTTCTTTTAAAAAAGCATATTTTTCAAAACAGCAACCTCATTTCTAGCAATTGCTCCTGAGGAGACAATTGAATGAGAGCCCCAAAGTATATGCAACATTGTTCCTATGGCACTGTTTAAAATTGTAAAAAATAGGCTGGGCACGGTGGCTCACGCCTATAATCCCAGCACTTTGGAAGGCTGAGGTGGGCAGATCACTTGAGCTCAGGAATTTGAGACCAGCCTGGGCAACATGGTGAAACCCCGTCTCCACCAAAAATACCAAAAATTAGCAGGGCATGGTCCCAGCTCCTTGGGAGGCTGAGGTGGGAGCATCACTTGAGCCTGGGAGGCAGACATTGCATTGCAGTGAGCTGTGATTGCATCTCTGCACTCCAGCCTTGGGTAAGAGGCTCAAAAAAAAAAACGTAGAAAGCAATCCTAAATATCTGGTAACAGATTTATTGGATAAACTTAAAACATACGTAAAATGAAATACCACACAGCCATTAAAAATAAATTTTGACTTAAAGTTTTTTACAAACCAAGCTGGGTGTCTGTGGGTGATAAAATCTGGGATGATTATTTATTTTTTTCTTTATATGCTTTCTGAAATTTGCTACAATGTTGATTATGATCAATCATTGATTTAACTGCAGGCAGACTGCCCCTGGGTTCAAACGCCCGTTCTAAAGAGATACTGGGGAAAATATCTTAACCTCTCTAAGCTCCTTTCCTCATTTGTAAAATGGAACTGATTATCCCACTTCATGAACATAAGGATCAAATTTAAAAATGCATGCAGGAGGCCAGGTGCAGTGGCTCATGCCTGTAATCCCAACACTTTGGGAGGATGAGGCAGGAGGACTGCTTGAGCCCAGGAGTTTGAGACCAGCTTGGGTGACACAGTGAAAATCTATCTCTGCGAATTTTTTTTTTGATTAGCCAGATGTGGTTGCAGCATGTGCCTGTAGTCTCAGCATGTAGGAGGCTGAGGCAGAAGGATGGCCTGAACCTGGGAGGTTGAGGCTTCAGTGAACTGTGATCCCGCCACTGCACTCCAGCTTGGGTGACACAGCGAGACCTTATCTCTATAAATAAAAATAAATAAATACACAAAAATAAGCAATAAATAAACAATGGGGGGGGAAGAAAATGCATGTGATGACTGGCTTAAACATAGCAGTATTATTACTTAGTCATCCATTTAGCTGAAAATAGTGGCAAAAGAGAGGAGTAGAAACTTGGTGTCTCATACAACTTCTCTATATTCCTATGTGATCAGTGGTTTCTATCATCAAGGTGGCTTCCAGATTGTTTGGAGCAGCTCTGGAATGTGGGTGTCTCCACCACCATCTACACATGCTACCTACCCAGCCAGGTTGCAGACCACTCCACTGCCCAAAGGGCTTCCCAGCTTTCTGCTCTGCTCTGGATAACCACTGCTTCAGACTACTTTGGAGGGGGCTTGCCTGGCACATCACAGAGCTACTTTGCTTCCCTAGGTTTTGCTCACACTCCTTTCCCAGTCTGCACCCCTCCACAACAGAGACCTGAGCCCAGGGAGTTTCAGTAACTTGTTCAAAGCCAAAAAGGAATTAGCGGGAGAGGCAAGACTAGAACTCAGATCTTCTCTCTTCTTGTCATTCCATCACTATCACCTGTAATCTATGTTGCCTCATATTTAAACCCCAATGATTGCTTTTATCTGAACTTGGTCTTGATTATTTTCAGTTACTGCCCTTGGTTAATGTAGAAAGCAATCCTAAATATCTGGTAATAGATTTATTGACTTTAAATTTATATAGGGTGTCCCCAATCAGACTACTGCCTCTCCTGTCTGCAAAGTTTGAACTCAGTCTTCTCAATAAATATCCTGATAAGAGACACTTTTATTCCACCCCAGCCAGACACCTCAGGATAAAAGCAGCAAATATTCTTGACATCAAGGAAGACTCAGAATTCCTTCCCCAAACCAGTCCTTTGAGCTATACTTCTTCTTTGCTCACTTCTGTGATGTTGGTAGGTATGATTTAATCCATTATTAGATAAGGAAGTCAAGGCGCAGAGACTCAGAAATTGGGATTCCACTCTCAGAAGTGCTCACACTGCCAGTGATCAAAAGACTAGTCTTCACATTCTAAACCCCACGTTTCTCACTGCTCAAGAAAATACAGTCTTTAAAAACTACTTTTCGGCTGGGTGCAGTGGCTCACGCCTGTAATCTCAGCACTTTGGGAGGCCGAGGCGGGTGGATTACGAGGTCAGGATATCAAGACCATCCTGGCTAACACAGTGAAACCCCTGTCTCTACTAAAAATAAAAAAAATTAGCCGGGCGTGGTGGCAGGCGCCAGTAGTCCCTGCTGCTCGGGAGGCTGAGTCAGGAGAATGGCCTGAACCCGGGAGGCGGATCTTGCATTAAGCTGAGATCGTGCCACTGCACTTCAGCCTGGGCAAGAGACAGAGACTCCGTCTCAAAAACAAAAACAAAAAACAAAAAAACAAAACAAAACAAAAACAAAAAACAAAACAAAACAAAAAACTACTTTTCTGCTTTTCCAAGTCTCCATATAGAAGCAAGAACATATTTACTCCAATAATTACAGCAGAGTATATTCTTTTATGTAGAGAGAGATTTGTTGACTCAGATATTTGATTGGGGACACCCTATATATTTTTTAAATTAAAAAAATTCAAATTAAAAAAATTTTTTTGCCAAAAATCTATTGATTTGATTGCTTTCAGTACTGCCCTCTCTTCTGCCAGCTGAAGAGAGACCCGTAATCTCTCTTCCCCATTTTTGTATTGCTTTATTTTGTGGGGACTTTATTTTCTCTAACTAAATTTAGAGGTCAGATGCCGCTGGGATTTTTTTTTTTTTCTGTGTACCAAATGTTCACCTTTAGTTTTATATTTAGAGAGAAAATAGAGAAAACAGAGATATGTAATATCCAATTCAGGATAACATTCTGGGCCCCAAATTATATAGGATGTCCCCAATCAAATATTTGAGTCAACAAATCTCTTTCTGCAAAGAAGAATATACTCTGCTACTGTAATTATTGGAGTAAATATGTTCTTGCTTCTATACAGAGACTTGGAAAAGTAGAAAAGTAGTTTTTAAATAATATATTCTCTTGAGCAGTGAAAAACATGTGGGATTTAGAGTGTGAAGACTAGTCTTCTGATCACTGGCAGTGTGAGCATTTCTGAGAGTGGAATCCCAATTTCTGAGTCTCTAAGCCTTGATTTCCTTATCTAATAATGGATCAAATCATACCTACCAACATCACAGAAGTGATGTGAGGATCACACGGTATTAGTGAAAGTGATGTGCAAATGTTGAAAGCTTTGTAAAAGTTAATTGCTCTTTTTTAAAAAAATGTTATTGCTCTTTCTTAGGTATAATATCTCAGTTAGCCTATGAAGAGAATGTTGTGGATCTCCCTCCAACTCACTTCACAAGTATTTAGGTAATAAAAATATTTCTATCAGATTTATTTTATTTCTGTGGCCAATTATTTCAAGTTTTGACATTTACCCATGATTTTATTTCATACAAGTAGCTAAGAATGAGGAATATTTGACACTTTGATTTCATCAATTAAAGAGAATTTTTCTTTAATTTTTTTAAAGCCTTTTAAGCTATATATAGCATTAACACTTCTGATGTCATGTCTTTACAGATTCAAGGCTGGGCACAGGAAGCAGATGGCAGGTACAATTGCTGAGAGTTGCAATCTGGTCTCAGCAAAACTGGTATCACAGGGACATAATTCACTTATGCTGACGTGCAGGTGCTTTTGCGAAAACATTGTCGTGTAGCAGAAAGAGCATGGGCTTTGGAGTCACACTGACCTAGGTTGAAGTCTTAGATGAGTTCTCACTTTAGTTTTCTTTCTTTAAGATGTAGATAACTCCTACCTTGCACCATGATTTGAGGACTAAATAAGGAAAATAATATTAAGTTCTATAGCAACCCTGAAACACACACATTAAAAGTATGTCTTTTCTTCTTCTGTCTGTGGTGCTTCCTTTAAGCACCCCTTCCCCTCCTTCACCCTCAAGGCTGATGCTCCCATACCTCCAGCTGAGTTTCCAGCCATCTTGCTCCAGCACCTTGAAGGTCAAGTTGGCAGCAAACTCAACTCACATGCTGCAAGTCTTCCATTTGGGAGGGTCCTGCCTTACAAAACTACTTCCTAGACACGACGCTAATTACTTGGTACATAGAAACGTGAATTCAAATCTGTGTCTTGATGAATGTCTGCTCATTGACTATGCATCTATTTATCACAGAATGGCAATGACACCTTTTCCCAGAAGGAAATTTTTCTGATTTACATATATGTGGCTGATGCATGAAGTGGGTTTTATAAATCACTATGTCATCGCCACCAAAAAATGCCCTCTAGCATGATTAGAAAGAGCCTGTGACAAGGGCCCTATCAAATTGAATGGAAAGGCCATAAAACCATCAGTTCATTTGACATAAAACTGATATATTATGTGATAATGCTTCAAGTAGAACCTGAGACCCCATTCATCACACAGGCTGCTCCACAGCTAGGTTCTGAGCTATGTGTTAATGAAACCTTCGTGCTCGACTCACACTGCAAATTGTAGTCCCCAGTCAGCACTGGGGACCCACACACCGGAATATGTTCCCATTGAAAATACACTTCATTCACTAACAAACTTTCTTGGGAGAAAGTTACATCAGGACAAGGGTCGTACACCCTCTTGGGGGTAGTGTTCTCACACGTAAAAGGTCAGACTAGATCCATGGTTCTTCCTAAGAGAAATACATCAGGCTTATCTGGCTGGCCTATAAAAGAAGTGCCAATGCTGGGGCCCCATCTCAGGGGAAGATCTAGGAATTCTCAGCTTTGAAAAGATCCCCAGGTGATTCTAATGCTCCCCATGGGTTAGTTTTTCTACCCAAAATGTCATCCCAGGATCAACAGCATCAGCATCAGCTGGTAGCCTATTAAAAACGCAGGATCTCAGACTTCACCCCAGACCCACTGAATCAGAATCTGAGTTTTAACAAGATCCCCAATGAGTTGATGCACGTTAAAACTCGAGCAGCATTAGAAGTGTTTCACAGCCTTGGCCCTATTTTAACATCTCCCGGGAAGCTTTTGAACATCCCAATGTCAAACTGTGCCATCAACTCATCAAAATCTCTGATGGTGGAATGCAAACATCAGGTTTTTTGGGTTGTTATGTGGTTTTTTAATCTCCCCAGGTGATTCTAATGTGTAGCTAAGCTTGAGACCCACTCGCTTAGAACCTCATTTACAGTTTACATCGGAGGCTTCAGCTGGAGTCCCGACAGCATGATAACGGGAGTTTGTACAATCGTGGCTTAAGGGGAGCACTTTGAACAACAGCACAAAGGAGACAGTCATTCCTACTGTGTTCCTCCCTCATGCCTGATATTCTGCTTCAGTCTTTCATATGTACCTTGAAGACAATCCTGTCAGGTAGGAATTGTTAAATACTTTTAAAACGAGAAAACCGAGGCTTGGAGAGGTAGAGAGACTTACCCAAGATTATGTAGCTAGCAAGTGGTGTTCATCAACTCCAAAGCCAATGTTCTATGACATTATCCTCCCCTCCATGTGAACAACTGTCCCTCTCAATTTGTGCCTCCAGGGAGTTAATATTATATTTTTTTCAGTGAGAGCACAGTTTCAGCAATGATAGAAATAGGGTGATTGCCACTTCTAGGGTCAATCTATGAATATCAACAGAACAGAATGTGGTGAAAGACCCAAACTTGAAGCTTCTTTGGGGGACAGGATCAGTAGAAAACTAGAGGGGCCCAGATCCAACAAGCTGGGTGGTAGTTCTGGATGGGAATTTGTACTAGCATCTGCTCCATTTGAGTAATACCACCTTAGGATGTAATGATCATGCTGCTATGCGAAATTCAGTGCTCGCTTTTCTTGGCAACTTGAGGTATAATTGACATACAGTAAACTGCACATATTTAAAGTGTATAATTTGATAAGTGTTGACATATGTATATACTCATGAAACCATCACAACCAAGATAATAAACATATCTGTCACCTCCTCCCCAATTTTTCTTTGTGCTTTTTCATAATAACTCTGTCCTGTCCCTCCCTGTGCCCTCCCTGTTCCCAGGTAACTATCAGTCTGCTTTCTCTCATTATAGGTAAGTTTGCATTTTCTAGAATTTTATACAAATGAAGTCATACAGTATATACTTTTTTTTTGGTCTGGCTTCTTTCAATCAACACAATTATCTTGAAATTTATCCAAATCGTTTCACGTGTCAAATGTTCATTCTTTTTATTGTTCTTGCACTCACCTGGTGAGGGATATTTAGGTTATTTCCAGTTTAGGGGTCATGCAAATAATGCTTTTATGAGTACTCATATACAAGCCTTTTATGAATTTCATTTCTCTGGGATGAATACCTCGGAGTGTAATGTCTGGGTCATATGCAAGATGTATGTTAAAGTTTTTAAGAAAACCCTCAATTATTTTCCAAAGTGGCATTTTATATTTCCAAAAGCAGTATAGGAGAGTTCCTTATGCTCCACATATGCATCAACACTTGTTATGTTCAGTCTTTTTTAATTTTAGACATTCCAATAAATGTATAGTGGTATCTCATTGTGGTTTTAAGTCGCATTTTCCTAATAATGTTGAGGGTCCTTTCATGTACTTATTTGGAATCTCTGTCTAAGTGTCTGTTCTAATGTTTTGTCCATTTTTCATTGAGTTGTTTTCCTATTATTACATTTTGAAAGTTCTCTGGACATACTGGATAAATGTAATTTGACTTTCAAATATTTTCTCTCAGTCTATGGTGTGTCTTTTAATTCTCTTAATGTTGCCTTTTGAAGAGAAACAAGTTCTTACTTTGGATGAAGTCCAATATATCAATTTCTCCTTTTGTGGATTGTACTTTTGATATTGTATCTAAAAACCCTTTGCCTAACCCAAGTTCACAGTAATTTTCTTCTATGTTTACTTCTAAAATTATGATAGTTTTAAATTTTACATTAAGATCTATCATCATGTGCAAGGTATGGTCAAAGTTTATTTTCATATGGACATTCAACTGTTTCAGTAGTTGTTGGAAAGCCAATCCATTCTCCACTGAATTCTCTTGAAATTTTGTCAAAAATCAGCTATTTACCTCTGTATAGGTTTATTTATGGACTTTCTGTTCTGTTGCTTTTCATGTTTTCCTATCTAGACACACTACTTCACTGGCTTGGTTACTACAGCTTTAAATTTAGCATAGAAATGAGGTAGTGGGAATTCTCCAGCCTTGTTCTTCATTTTTGTTTTGTTTTGTTTTGGTTTTGAGATGGAGTCTTGCTCTGTCGCCCAGGCTGGAGTGCAGTGGCATGATCTCGGCTCACTGCAAGCTCTGCCACCCAGGTTCATGCCATTCTCCTGCCTCAGCCTCCCGAGTAGCTGGGACTACAGGCACCCACCACCACACCCAGCTAATTGGTTTGTATTTTTAGTAGAGACAGGGTTTCACCATGTTAGCCAGGATGGTCTTGATCTCCTGACCTTGTGATCCACCCGCCTTGGCCTCCCAAAGTGCTGGGATTAAAGGTGTGAGCCACCGCACGCGGCCTGTTCCTCATTTTCAATTTTGTTTTGGTTAGTCTAGGTTCTTTGAATTTCCAAATGAACTTTAGAATCAGCTTGTTTAATTTCTACAAAAAGAAAGTCTGCTGAAATTTTAATTGAGATTGTGTTATATTTAGAGATCAATTTGGGGAGAATTGATATTTTAGTAACATTGAGTGTTCCAATCCATGAACATAGCATTTCTCTTCATATGTTTAGGTCTTCTTAATTTCTTTCAGCAATGTTTGTAGTTTTTAATGTAGAGGTCTTGCATATCTTTTGTTGGATTTATTCCCAAGTATTTCATATATGTTTGATGTTCTTGTAAACATACTGTTTTTAAATTTTAATTTCTAATTTTTCTTTGCTACTATGTAGAAATAGATTTTCATGTAGTGATCTTGTATCCTCAAACTTGCTAAGCACACAGTTAATTTGTAGACCATATAAGATTTCCTACAAAGAAGATAATGTCATCTGTGGATAAAGAGGATTTTACTTCTACCTTCCCAAACTGGATGCCTTTCATTTATTTTTTCTTACCTTATTTCACTGGTTAGACTATCCAATACAATGTGAAATAGCACTGGAGAGAGTGGGCATCCTTGGCTTGTTCCAGATCACAGTGGGAGAGCTTTCAGTTTTTTACTACTAAGTATTAGGAAGGATATTCAAAACCTTCCCAAGAGATGCTAAAATGGGCCCAAGGCTGTGAAACACTGTTCTAATGCTGCTCGAGTTTTAATGTGCATCAACTCACCAGGGATCTTGTTAGAACTCAGATTCTGATTCGGTGGGTCTGGGGTGAGGTCTGAGATTTTGCATTTCTAATACTCATAGCCTTTATGAGACTGAGTAAATTCCCTTGTATTTCTAGTGTGCTGAGTGTTGTTTTTATCAGAAACCAAGTTAGGCTTTTAGCACATGCTTTTTCTGCATTTGCTAAGATGATCATATAGCTTTTCTTCTTTAGTCTGTTAATATGATGAATTGTCCTGATTGATTATTTATTTATTTATTTAAAGACAGAGTCTCACTCTGTTACCCAGGCTGGAGTGCGGTGGTGCAATCTCAGCTCACTGCAACCTCTGCCTCCCAGGTTCAAGTGATTCTCATGCCTCAGCCTCCCAAGTAGCTGGGATTACAGGCACACACGCCACCATGCCCAGATAATTTTGTTGTTGTTGTGTTTTTACTAGAGACAGGTTTTTACCATGTTGGCCAAGCTGATCTCGAACTCCTGACCTCAAGTGATCCACCTGCCTCTGCCTCCCAAAGCGCTGGGATTACAGGCATGAGCCACTGTGCCGGGCCCCTTTGATTGATTTTAAAATGCTAACTCAGCTTTCTATTTCTGGGGTAAACCTGATTTGATCATGATGCATTATCCTTTTTATATGCTGTTACACTCAATTTGTTAAAATGTTGTTATGGTCTTTTCAACAAATGGTACTTGGAGAACTGGACGTCACTTGAAAAATAGGATTCTAGACACATACCTTATGCCCTTCATAAAAATTAACCCAAAGGCTGGGTGCAGTAGCACACGTCTGTAATCCTAGCAGTTTGGGAGGCCGAGGCAGGTGGATCACCTGAGGTCAGGAGTTTGAGACCAGCCTGGCCAACATGGTGAAACCCCATTTCTACTAAAAATACAAAAATTAGCTGAGTGTAGTGGCTGGCACCTGTTATCCTAGCTGCTCAGGAGGCTGAGGCAGGAGAATAGCTTGAACCTAGCAGGCGGAGGTTGCAGTGAGCTAAGATCATGCCATTGCACTCCAGACTGGGCAACAATAGCGAGACTCTATCCAAAAAAAAAAAAAATTAACCCAAAATACATCATAGATCTAAATGTAAAATGCAGAAGTATAAAACTCCTAGGAGATAACATAGGAGAAAATCTGGATGACCTTGGGTGTGGTGATGACTTTTTAGATATGTCACCAAAGGCATGTTCCATGAAAGAAATAATTGATAAGCTGGACTTTATTGAAATTAAAAACCTCTGCTCTGTGAAAGTCACTGTCAAGGGAATGAGAAAACAAGGTCATGGACTGGGAAAAAATATTTGCAAACAACTGATCTGATAAAGGACTGTTATCAGAAATATATAAAGAACCCTTAAAAGTCAACAATAAAAACCCCAATTTGAAAACAGACAAAAGACCTGAACAGACACCTCATCAAAAAAGATATACAGGACCTCAGGCTGCAATGAACTACAAGCTCCATTCACTCAAGCAGGGAGTTTAACAGGCCCTGTCTAGGCTTCCTCTTCCCACACAGCACAGCTTGGAAATTATGCAGAAAGATGGGGAAATTAGAGAGTTTACCCTATTTGTTTCTCATCTGTCAGGGATCATTGTCCTACATTGCTTACAGTTCAATATTCTAGAGATATCCCACTGTTTAATATATTTTTGTCTATTTGTTTGTTTTGTTTTATTGGGCAGGAGGGCAAATTCAGTCCTGTTACTCTATCTTGCCTGGAAGCAAAATTTCACTCTAGCTAGCTATTGAGAAAGTTTTCTCTTTTTTACTAATGAGACTAGTTATCCTATATAAATTTCTTCTCTATACTCTTATTTCCTCATTAAAAAATCTTAGCTGTGTAAATACTGGGTACAAAAATGTAAACCTCTTTAAGCCTAGAGATAGCCTCATAGTGAGGTCAGTATACCCAATCCTAGCTCTGGCTAGTCCTATCTTTTGTCATCTTCTTGACTGGCCCGTTTTGTCACACACTGAAAAAGCTCTGAGAATTAGCCTATCACAATTATTGCATGTTATACTCAGTAGACAGTGCTTTATATGTGAATGGTACACTGGTCACAGGTGATTATCCACTCTTCATTCATGAACCCAATGACTGAATTTATCTCTTTGGGTGTGAGTAGACAACTGATGGAGAAGATGATGGAAACAGTGGCTCAATTAGAATACACTTAGAAGAAGGAAACATATCCTAAGAATTGGAGCATCAGGATTAAATAACTTCAAAATTTCAAAATAATATAGGCTCTACAAATCTTAATGGAAGAGGCTATTTGACTGGTGAATAAGAGCGAACCACTTCGATTTGGTTATCAATGAGAACAAGTAGAAGGCAGATGAGGCAGTGTCACATCTTATGAGTTTATTGACCAACTAGAGAAGCAGGATGGTTAAAAGACTTGAAATCATGTCACATGGGGATAAGTGGTATGTGAAATATCTCACGATAATTATGAATTCATCTATTTCTCCTTTAAATTATGTAACTTTTAATGATTACTTTGTTATTACACGTTCCCAAATTGAAGATAGGTCTATCTCCTGTGTAGCTATCTCAAGCTTATTTAGACTAGTGTTTACCTGTAACTTTTTCCATACTTTTAATTTCAACATTTCCATGTTTTTATATTAAAGATCTCTCTTCACAATAAAAATTGTTTTTGCTTGTTTGTTTTTATTTTTATAATCTGAGCTGACAATTCTTATCTTTCAATTGGAAATTTTAGGCCACTGTTATTTAATTTAACTACTAATATGTAGTCATGTGCCACATAATGATGTTTCAGTCAACGATGGACTGCATATACAACAGTATATGCATAAGATTGTAATATCGTATTTTTACTGTACCTTTTCTATGTTTACAAGTGTTTTAATAGACAAATACTTATCATCGTGTTATAATTGCCTTTAGTATTCAGCACAATAACACGCCATACAAGTTTGTAGCTTAGGAGCAATAAGCTACACTATATAGCTTAGGTATGTAGTAGGCTATACCATCTAAGTTTGTATAAGTAGACTCTATAACATTTACACAATAAAATCGCCTAATCACACATTTCTCAGAATATGTTTCTCCATCATTTAGTGACACATGAGTGTATTTGCATTTAAATCTACTATATTACTATGTATATTATATTTGTCTTTTGTGTTGTTCTTTTTTTGTTGTTCTTTCTCGACTTCTTCTGGTGTAATTATTTTATTATTATATTTTTCTTTCTATTAACCTGATAGTAATATAGTCTCTTTTTATAATTTTTATAATTTTAGGCAGTTACCCTGAAGATAACATGCATACTGACTTATTTGGTCTATATTTAGTACTTTTACCATGTCCTGAGTAATGTTAAGAATCTAGAACATTTAAAATCATTTATGACCCCTATTTTTTTATTGTATTCACAGATTTTAATTAATGTTTATTTTAAACCTTGTAAGGTATTTTTGCTGTTGCTTTAAGCATTCTATGTTAATGTAGGTTCAATTCTTTGTTTTCCCCTTCAGGTGCTCTTCATTCCTTCCTACATTCATATGGTTCCATTTGAGCACATTTTTTTTCCTACCTGAATAGTTCCCTAGGTGTATTTTTAATGTGGTTCTGTGGGCAATAAATTTAGTTTATATGTTTGTCTAAGAGGCATTGATCCATCCTCATTTCTGAGGGATATATTTACTGGAAATAGAATTCTAAATTGGCAGTTATTATCTTTCAGCATTTAAAGACACCATTGCACTATCTTTTTTCTTGTGGAAAATTAGCTGTCAATTTAATTGTTGTTCCTTTAGAATCTGAAATACTTCAAGAGGTCTTATTTTTCCAGAGGTTTATCTATGATGTTGCTGAGTATGGTGGTGTAGACAGTGGCTTCTTCCTCAAATGCTACTTGTCATTTGAATCGTTTATCCAGTCTATGACTTGATTGTTTTTGGTCAGTTGGGAAAAGTCGTAGTTAATATATCTTCAAATGAGATTACTGACCCATTCTCTTGCCTTTATGTCTGTGGATCCAGTTACATTTAGGTTAACATTTTCACTGTTACTCATTTTTTGCATTTTTTTTTTGGTTCTCTAAGCTTTAGCCTGGATATTTTCTACTGCCATATCTTCCCATTCACTAATCATCTCTTCTACTGTGTCTAAACCCACCTCTTAAACATTATACTTTTTAGTTTTTGATTTAAATTTCATTATTTTTAAAAACTTCAATCTTTTCATCTGTCTTCTTAAATATATTAGTCATAGTTATTTTAGAGGTTTTTTTCTCATAACTTCAATGTTTGGAATATCTCTGGGTCTTATTATCTGTTGTTTCTCTTAGTTTTCTGTCATTTAGTTCTTTTTCTTAACACACTTAGTAATTTTTTGTTGTTGAATGCCAGTCATCACCTAGTAAAAAATTGAGGAAATTCTGGATTATGACTATCTTCCTCTAAAGATATTTATTCCTCTTTAGCAAGCAGGTAGAACATGAGCAAATCACCTTGATCTAATCAAGCCTGGCCTTTCTCTGGTTTGTCCATACCCATGAAACTTTCAGGGTCTCAATGGAATGTCTGGCATTTATGAACCTGAGCTCCAATTTTCTCTCCAGGGTGACAATGAAGCCTAAATCTCAGCTTTGACTTTTCACCTCTTAGCAACTGTTTTCTGGCTGCTTGGCTGGCATAGGTACAGCTTAGGAATTGGCAAATGCTTCAAGGGGGAAATGCATGAAGAGTGTCACTCTCACTTCTCTATGGTTCTTTTGTCTCTGGAACATTAGCACCTTAGGTTCTGAATATCTTATTCACCATGAACTCCATTTTTTTCCTCCCTAATCCAGTTCTTCCTCAAGTAATATGTAGTTGCTTTCTTTTCAGCATCTGTGCCCTGAGCCTTGAATATGAAAATGCATTGAGGAGAAAAAGCAACCTACAGTATAGACTGTTTTTTTTTGTTTTGTTTTGTTTCTTGTTTTTTGTTTTTTGTTTTTTGTTTTTTTTTTTTTGAGATGGAGTCTCACTCTGTCACCCAGGCTGGAGTGCAGTGGTGTGATCTTGGCTCACTGCAAGCTCCATCTCCAGTCTCAGGTAGTTCTTTATTGCAATGAGAGAATGGACTAATACACCTGAAAAGCCTTCCCAAGAAGGATGGGCACAACACGCCCAAACTACAAATACTGCAATAAATACCTAACTCTTCAATGCCCAAAGAGTAGACAATGATGAAAATCCACAAGCATCAAGACTATCCAGGAAAACATGACCTCACACAAAAAAACAAAAAACAAAACAACAACAAAAAACTAAGGCACCAGGGACCAATCCTGGAGAAACAGAGATATGTGACCTTTCAGACAGAGAATTCAAAATAGCTGTTTTGAGGAAACTCAATGAAATTCAAGATGACACAGAGAATATTTCAGAATTCTACTCAATAAATTTAACAAAGATTGAAATAATTAAAAAGAATCAAGCAGAAATTCAGTTTAAAAATGCAACTGACATACTGAAGAATGACTGAAGAATGCATCAGAGTCTCTTTTTTTTTTTTTTGAGACGGAGTCTCGCTCTGTTGCCCAGGCCGGACTGTGGACTGCAGTGGCACAATCTCGGCTCACTGCAAGCTCCGCTTCCCGGGTTCACGCGAGTAGTGATCATGCAAAAGAAAGAATTGATGAGCTTAAAGACAGGCCATTTGAAAATACAGTCAGAGGAGACAAAAGAAAACAATGAAGCATGCCTGCAAGATAGCCTCAAAAAAGCAAATCTAGGAGTTATTGGCCTTAAAGAGGAGGCAGAGACAGAGATAGATGTAGAAAGTTTGTTCAAAGGGATAATATTAGAGAATGTCCCAAACCTAGAGAATGATATCAATATTAAAGTACAAGAAGGTTATAGAACACCAAGCATATTTAACTCAAAAAGGTTACCTTAAGTCATTTAATAAACTCCCAAAAGTTAAGGATAAAGAAAGGATCCTAAGGCAGCAAGAGAAAAGAAATAAGTAACATACAATCAAACTACAATATATCTGGCAGCAGACTTTTCAGTGCAAACATTACAGGCCAGGAAAGAGGGACATGACATATCTAAAGTGCTGAAGGAAAAAGACTTTTACCCTAGAATAGTATACCCAGTAAAAATATCTCTCAAGCATGAAGAAGCAATAAGTACTTTCCCAGAGAAACAAAAGCTGAGACCTGTCCTATAAGAAATGCTAAACACCAGACCTGTCCTACAAGAAATGCAAATCAGAGTTCTTCAATCTGAAAGAAACAGGCATTAATGACCAATAAGAAATCATCCGAAGGTACAAAACTCACTGATAATAGTAAGCACACAGAAAAACACAGAATATTATAACACTGTAATTGTGGTATGTAAACTACTCAAGTAAAAAGACTAAATGATGAACCAATAAAAAATAATAACTACAACAACTTTTCAAGACATAGTCAATACAATAAGATATAAAGAGAAATAATAAAAAAGTAAAACATAGGGGGACAAAGTGTAGAGTTTTTGTTAGTTTTCTCTTGGTTGTTTGTCTGTTTATGCAATCAGTGTTAAGTTGTCATCAGTTTAAAATAATGGGTTATAAGATATTCTTTTCAAGCCTCATGGCAACCTCAAATCTAAAAACATGATGAATACACAAAAAAATAAAAAGCAAGAAACATATCACCGGAGAAAATCACCTTCACTAAAAGGAAATATAGGAAGGAAAAAAGGAAAAGAAAAGAAAACCATGAAACAATCAGAAAACAACAAAATGGCAGGAGTAAGTCCCTATCAATAATAACATTGAATGTAAGTGGACTAAACTCTCCAATCAAAAGACATAGAGTGGCTCAATGGATTTGAAAAAAAAAAAAAAAAGACCCAATGATCTGTTGGTTACAAGCAACATGCTTCACCTATGAAGATATACACAGACTGAAAATATTGGGATGGAAAAAGATATCCCATGCCAATGGGAATTTTTAAAAAAAGAGCAGGAGTAGCTATACTTATATCAGGTAGCAGATTTTAAGGCAAAAACTGTAAGAAAGGACAAAGAAGGTCATTATGTAATAATAAAGGGGTCAGTTCAGCAAGAGGACATAACAATTGTAAATATATATGCACCCAATACTGGAGCACCCAGATATATAAAGCTAATATTATAAGAGCTAAAGAGAGAGATAGACTTCAATACAATAATAGCTTGAAACTTCAACACTCCTTTCAACATTGGACAGGTCTTCCAGACAGAAAATCAACAAAGAAACATTGGACTTAATCTGGACTATGGAACAAATGGACCTAATAGATATTTACAGAACACTTCATCTAAAGGCTGCAGAGTACACATTCTTCTCCTCAGCACATGAATAATTCTCAAGGATAGACCATATGTTAGGTTACAAAGCAAGTCTTAAAACATTTAAAAAATTAAAATAATATCAAATAATATCTGACCACAATGAAATAAAATAGAAATAAGTAACAAGAGAAAATTTAGAAACTATACAAACACATGAAAATTAAACAATATGCTCCTGACTGATGAGTGGGTCAATTAAAAAATTTAGAAGGAAATTAAAATGTTTCTTGAAACAAATGAAAATGGAAACACAACATACCAAAACCTATGAGATACAGCAAAATCAGTACTAAGTGGGAAATTTATACCTGTAAATGCCTACCTCAAAAAAGAAAAGAAAAAAAAAAACTTCAAGTAAATAATCTAATGCTGCATCTTAAAGAACTAGAAAAGCAAGAGCAAACCAAACCCAAAATTAGTAGTAAAAAATAAGAAAGATCAGAGCAGAAATAAATGAAATTGAAGAAGTTAATACAAATGATCAAAGGGAAAAGTCGGTTCTTTGAAAAGATAAACAAAACTGACAAACCTTTAGCCAGACTAAAGAAAATGAGAGAGAAGACCCAAATAAATAAAATCGAAGATGAAAAAAGAGACATTACAACTGATACTACAGAAATTCAAAGGATTATTAGTGGCTACGATGAGCAATTATATGCCAACACATTAGAAAATCTAGAGGAAATGGATAAATTCCTAGACACATATAACCTCCCAAGATTAAACAATGAAGAAATCCAAAACGTGAACACACTAAGTAACAGATCAAAGCTGTAATAAAAAGCTCCCAATAAAGAAAAGCCCAGGACTTGATGGCTTCATTGCTGAATTCTACCAAACATTTAAAAAACTAACACCAACCCTACTCAAACTATTTCAAAAAATAGAGGACGAGGGAATACTTCCATATTCATTCAACAAGGCCAGTATTACCCTGATACCAAAACCAGAGAAAGACATATCAATAAAAGGAAGAAGAAAACTACAGCCAATATCCCTGATGAATACTTATGCAAAAATCCTCAACATAATACTAGCAAACCGAATGCAACAATACATTAAAAGGATCATTCATCATGATCAAGTGAGATTTATCCCAGGGATGCAAGCATGGCTCAACATACACAAATCAATCAATGATAACGCATCATATCAACAGAATGAAGGTCAAAAGCCATGATCATTTCAATTAATGTTGAAAAAATATTCGATGAAATTCAACATCATTTCATGATTTAAAAAAAAACCTTTAAGAACCTGGGTATAGAATAAACATATTAATATCTTGACATAATAAAAGCCATATATGACAAACCCACAGTTAGTCTTATACTGAATGGAGAAAAACTGAAAGCCTTTCCTCTAAGATCTGGAACAAGACAAGGATGCCCACTTTCATCACTGTTATTCAACATAGTACTGGAAGTCCTACCTAGAGCAATCAGACAACAGAAAGAACTAAAGGGCAAATTGGAAAGGAAGAAGTCAAATCATCCTTGTTTGCAAATGATATAATCTTATATTTGGAAAAACCTAAAAATACTACCAAGAAACTATTAGACCTGATAAACAAATTTGTAAGGTTGCAGGACACAAAATCAACATGCAAAAGTCAGTGAGTAGCATTTCTATTTGCCAATAGTAAACAACGTGGAAAAGAAATCAAGAAAGTAATCCCATTTACAACTGCCACAAATCGAATTAAATACCTAGAAATTAAGCAAAGTGAAAGATCTCTACAATGACAACTATAAAACACCAGTAAAGGAAATTGAAGAGGACACCAAAAAATGGAAAGATATTCCATGTTCATGGATTGGAAGAATCAATTGTTAAAATGTCCACACTACCCAAAACAATCTACAGATTCAATGCAACCCCTATCGAAATACCAATGACATTTTCAGAGAAATAAGAAAAAACAATCCTAGGATTTATGTGAAACCATAAAAGACCCAGAATAGTCACACCTATCTTCAAAAAAATGTACAAAACTGGCTGGGCGTGGTGGCTCACGCCTGTAATCCCAGCACTTTGGGAGGCCGAGGTGGGCAGATCATGAGGTCAGGACATCGACACCATCCTGGCTAACACGGTGAAACTCCGTCTCTACTAAAAATACAAAAAATTGGCGGGCGCCTGTAGTCCCACCTACTAGAGAGGCTGAGGCAGGAGAATGGCGTGAGCCTGGGAGGCAGAGCTTGCAGTGAGTTGAGATTGTGCCACTGCACTCCAGCCTGGGCGACAGAGCGAGACTCCGTCTCAAAAAAAAAAAAAAAAAAAAGTACAAAACTGAAGGAATCACAGTATGCGACGTCTAATTGTACTACAGAGCTATAGTAATGAAAACAACATAATACTGGCATAAAAAACAGACACATAAACCGATGGAACAGAATACAGAACCCCGAAACAAATCCATATACCTACAGTGACCTCATTTTCGATGAAGGCTCCAAGAATATACACTGGGAAAAGAACAGTCTTTTCAATAAATGGTGCTGGGAAAACTGGATATCCATATGCAGAAGAATGAAAATAGACCATTATCTCTCACCATATATAAAAATCAAATCAAAATGGATTAAATAGTTAAATCTAAGACCTCAAACTATGAAACTACTACCAAAAAAAAAAAAAAAAAAAAAATTGGGGAAACGCTCCAGGACACTGGTGTGGGCAAAGATTTCTTAAGGAATACTCCACAGCACAGGCAGCCAAAGCAAAAATGGACAAATAGGATCACATCAAGTTAAAAAGCTTCTGCACAACAATAGACACAATCAACAAAGTGAAGAGGCAACCCATAGGATGGGAGAAAATATTTGCAAACTACCTATTTGACAAGAGATTAATAATCAGAATATATAAGGAGGTCAACAACTCTACAAGAACAAATCTAATAATCCAATTTAAAAATGGGCAAAACATCTGAATAGATATTTCTCAAAAGAAGATGTACAAATGGCAAACAGATAATCAGAAAATATGTAAATCAAAACTACAATGAGATGCTATCTCACCACAGTTAAAATGGCTTTTCTCCAAAAGACAGGCAATAATAAATGCTGGAGAGGATGTGGAGAAAAGGGAACCCTCATATACTGTTGGTGGCAATTTAAATTAGTACAACCACTTGGAAAGCAGTTTGCAGGTTCCTCAAAAAATTAAACATTGAGCTACCATATGATACAGCAATCTCACTGCTGAGTATATACCACAAAAAAAGAAATCAGTATATTAAAGAGATATCTGCATTTCCATATTTGTTGCAGCACTGTTCACAAAAGCCAAGATTTGAAAGCAACCTAAGTGTTCATCGACAGATGAATGCAGAAAGAAAATGTGGCATATACACAATGGAGTACTGTTCAACTACAAAAAAGAATGAGATCCTGTCATTTGCAACAACATGGGTGGAACTGGAGGTCATTATGTTAAGTGAAATAAGCCAGGCATAGAAAAACAAACATTGCATGATCTCACTTATTTGTGGGGGCTAAAAATTAAAACAATTGAATTCATAGAGATAGAGAATAGCAGGATGGTTACCAGAGGCTGGGAAGGGTAATGTGGTATCTGGTGGGGGAAAAAGTGGGGATGGTTAATAGGTACAAAAAATAGAGAGAATGAATAAGACCTAGTATTTGATAACAAAACAGGGCAACTATAGTCAATAACTACATTTTAATATAACTAAAAGAGTATATTTGGATTGTTTGTAACAGAAAGGATAGATGCTTGAGAGGATGGATAACCCATTTACCATGATGAAATTATTATGCATTGCATGCTTAAACAAAGGACTATGTTTAGTATCTCATGTACCCCATAAATATATGCACCTATTATGTATGCAAAAATTAACAATTAAAAGTTTCTGGCTTTTAAAAAACATATCCAATAAATAAATATTGGTTTGAATGTCTGTTTAGGTTTATTTTGTAATGATCTGATAATGTTGTGAATATGTTCATAATTTATTAAAACAATCTACTTTTCTTACTTGAAATATTTCACCTTTAGTTGCTGAGGAATGGCTCTTGTCATAGGCCTTCAGACTTAGTTTTCCTTAGATTAGAATAATGCAAAACTTTACAACTATTTCTTGTAATTAGCCCTTCCTTTTGGCACATAGTATTTTCAAGGGAGATGTCAAAGGTCCATGGTGACAGTTTCCTATACCATTGCTATTTTCTCTGAGTCGAGTTAGTGCACTGACAGAGATTATTCATACTGCGGAGGTGTGTTCTTGTGATGTTAGAATCCTTATTGTGGTTGTTACATTTCACGGTTAAAAAAAAAAAGATACAATCCTGGAGATATGCTCTAAACACCAACATAATGTTTGAAATTGAAAAGATGAAGAATCTGGTCTTTGCTCTTTTGAAGTATTAATCAAATACTATCAACCTTGATGTAACAATACTGTAAATTCAGCTTTATTCTGAGCTAGAACAATGTCTCCTTGTGATGACTATTTTAATCTTATTTTGCTTCCATATTTACCCAGAGAAATAATTTAGTGGTTTTCAAATAGTTTCATTTGTTTTTTTTTTTTTTTTTTTTTAAGGCAAAATGGTGTTGTGGGGAGTACACTGATTATTTTATTTTACTTTAAGTTCTGGGATGCGTGTGCAGAACGTGTAGGTTTGTTTCATAGGTATTCATGTGCCATGGTGGTTTGCTACACCTATCAACCCGTCATCTAAGTTTTTAAGCCCCACATGCATTAGGGATTTGTCCTAATGCTCTCCGTTCCCTTGCCCTCCACCCTCCAACAGGCCACAGTGTGTGATGTTCCCCTCCCTGTGTCCTTGTGTTCTCACTGTTCAACTCCCATTTATGAGTGAGAAAAGGCGGTGTTTGGTTTTCTGTTCCTATGTTAGTTTGCTGAGAATGATGGTTTCCAGCTTCATCCATGTCCCTGCAAAGGACATGAACTCATTTTTTTATGGCTGCATGGTATTCCATGATGTATATGTGCCACATTTTCTTTATGCAGTCTGCCATTGATGGGCATTTGGGTTTGCCAAGTCTTTGCTATTGTAAATAGTGCTGCAATAAACACATGGAGAGTACACTGATTTTGATGTGAGGAGTCTAGAATCACCTTACTACTCAAACATTGCATGACCTTGAGCAAATCACTTCTTTAATGTCCTTGCCTCTCAAATGGAGATATCTTTCCTACATAACTTCAAAACTTTCAGTCTCCTAGATCATTATCAGTTTGTTCAACCTTGCTAGGCAGTATTAGGAATTATTAAAGTTCATGTAGTTTAAATGGATCAAGCAAATGTTATGAGATTGTGATATTTTTTATGCAATAAACTTAACACTCAAACATTTTTGGGGCCATGTGAAAATAGAAGTTGGACTACTGGTTATATTTTCCTCTCTTTGCTTTAGTAAGGATAGTTGAAGATAAAAAACCTTTAATAACTTTATGATCAAGGAGTAAGTGTAAACAGATTGAATGACTAACGGAAATTTCATTTGCTACTTTGGGAAAGAAAACTAATAAATGTTCATTTAAAATGAAACAGTCAGGCAAGTAGCATTTTATCCATTTTCCAGAAAAGAAACTGGTTGAGAAAAGTAATGTCTTCATGATCATACAATATGCTAGATATGGAATTCAAAAATCTAAACCTAGATCTGAGTGAGAAATCTGCTTTCTACTATAGCAGTTGTTTTCAAAATATAATGTGCATCAGAACACCTGTGGTACTTACTCCAAATGGAGATTCCCAGACAGCTTATTGGAATATGCATTGTTATAAATACATCATGTAATGTGATGGTGGTCCAGGATAATTAAGAACAAGAGCTCATTAGTTCTGTTAAGTAGCATGTTCAAATCTGCACTAGTTACTGAAAACTGCCAACTCAAGAAAATCAAACTATGTATCTTTATAATAAATTAGTATTCATTTGTTGTTTTTATCTGGGTATAAACCAGAATAGTACATTACTGTGATCCTAGAATTCTTATCTACGAGGCTCACAGATAAGGTATTCCAGGAGTATTTGATAAATGCAGGTGGTTCTTGCTAACTTTGAATCTGGTAAAATATAAGCCTACCTTCCCTGAATTAATCATAAAATAAAATTTATCATAAAATTTTTTTAAAAGGAAGAAAATACTGTATTTCTTGTGTGCACGAAGTCAACCCAAAGTGAGGCTGCAACTATGAAGAGAATACCAGCTAAGGGACTCCAATCAAATCTCAGAATGCCACTTTGTACCTATGACTTTGGACAAATTATTTCCCTCTTACTTGAGTCTCAGGTTCATCATTTGTAAAATAAGCATAACAACATTCACCTCAGAGTTATTCATGGATCAAATGAGGTACTAAACACATTTGAAGGTGTCCCATAGAAGCTATAAAATGTTACACACATGGACAATAAATATGAAGGAAAATCTAAGACATATCATCTAACAGCAGCTGCAGTGATATTACCGGATACTTTCAGGTTGTTTTTGATGGAAATATTTCCACTTTAAGAGCTTTCTGGTCCTCACTGGATTTCTCAGCAGGGTGGAGTGTTCTGGATCATCCCTCAGTAGGCACAGGCATGACAGTGATCACTGTGTGTGGTAGAATGACCCCTGCAATTGTCTTTACTGTTAAAGTATACATCAAAAACTATAATCCCATTACCTTCAGCACCTAAAGAATTAAATATAACTTCCTGGAGCACTGTCCTATTACATTCTCCCTATATACCAACTATTGTATTAAGTTCTCTGGCCCCATCCTTGGAGCTAAGCATGGCAAGTCAACACCAATACCCTATTACAACATGAGTTTGTGGAGAAAGCATGTGATGAGGCATCAGAGACCCTCAAGTACTGAGACTGGCCTAGCCACTATCTGGCCATGTGACATTGGGTACAACATACCTGTAAAATAAGAAAATGTATTATATGTCACTAAGGACCCAATGAACTTTGGCATTCTGTTATTTTAAAACAATCGTGGCATTTTATAAGTCTATATAACTGTCTTCTTGGATATTTTCCTTCCCATTTTCCTAACGTTTCTCAAAACAGTAGAAAAAGTTTAAGCCCAATTAAACAGAAAGATACATTTGAAGTAAAGATTTCAAGTAGTTTCAGAATATGCTTATAATGAAATACACAGATAAAATAGTTGTTCAATTAAGAAACATTTATTCTTTTCTAAATGAAAGTGAAATTGCAGTTGTAAGTATGAACTAAGAAACATTGGTTTTACAAGATAACTAGCTATATGACCATGACCTTAAGGTGTGATATGGTTTGGCTCTGTGTCTCCACCCAAATATCTTGTATCTCCCATTATTCCATGTTGTGGGAGGGGCCTGGTGGGAAATAATTTAATCACGGGGGCAGGTCTTTCCCATGCTGTTCTCGTGATAGTAAGCCTCATGAGATCTGATGGTTTTAAAAATGGGAGTTTCCCTGCACAAGCTCTCTCTCCTTGTCTGCTGCCATCCATGTAAGATGTGACTTGCTCCTCTTTGCCTTCCACCATGATTGTGAGGCCTCCTTAGTCATGTGGAACTGTAAGTCCGTTAAACCTCTTTCTTTTGTAAATTGCCCAATCTCAGGTATGTCTTTATCAGCAGCATGAAAATGGACTAATACAAGGTGCTAGACAAGGTGATTAAAGGCTCTATAAATTCTAAATTGTGCAATTCTAAGACATTCTTGGCATTTTACATGTCTAGATGACTGCCATCTTTTTTTAAATATTTTTCCCTCACATGTTCCAGTCTATTCTCATTACAGAAGAATACGTTTAACATACAGTTACAGAAACAGAGGTTTTAAATAAATATTTAAAAGTAACTTCAAAATATATTTGCACTGAAATATGGAGGCAAAATTGTTTCTGAGTCAGGAAACATTTATTCTTCCCCATAAATTTAAATGGAGGTGAAACTGTGAATATGAAGCAAAGAACATTTATCTCACAAGGTAACTCTGAATTCTTTTAATTCTGAAACCAGAGACATGTACAACACTTACAGCATTCACACAACACTATTTTCAAAATAGGTTTTTGACCCCTAAAAATGAAAATTCTTAGTGACAAGCTTTAGATATGAAACTTAGCCCAGTGGGTATTCACTTTGTCACAAAAAGCAACTACAGACAAATAGTTTTTCCCTCTCCCCGACACAAAAACTGAAATTACAGACTTTTAAAGCAGAAAAAATTTTCTCCAAAATGCAAATGATTAAGGTCCAAGGAACAAATGAACAGAAGATCTCAATTATTCAATTGAGCGAGTGATTTAGTTTGCATATTAACTCCTTTTCTTACTACTTCCTGATATCTGATTCTGGCAATATTTATCTTGTATCTACTGGGCAAGACACTGGGAACACAAAGAAATTTTAGACAAGGTCCAGTGGTATGCTGGTAAAGGTTTAACAACTAGCTCTTAAGGGAAAGGTAGGTCTTCACTTATAGCATTTCTATGGTGTAAATACTCCAATTGCCGCAGATTTCAAGCTAGCAACAATTTGACAACTGTCTCACAAAATTCCTCAAACTAACGATTGTCACTCATAAGACATTACAAGCCAGCTCCAACACACCACCGTACAGTCTCCACCTTCAAGTAGTTCATAATCTCTTCATGGGTACCTATTTAAGGGGATATAAAAGAATGGGGAATATTGAGATATAATTTAAATCAATTATATTTTTTAGGTAGTTTTAAAAGTTAGAAGGAACATAAATTTCCATGGGATTTTCCTACTTCTTTTTTTTTTTGTCATGGCAAATAACCTCATATTTTATTCAAAAACAATACCCCCTCCCCAGTCATGCATTTATAATTAAAATATCCTATTTTAATACATTCTCCTTATCTCTACCTTAGTGAATTAAAAAAAAATCTCTTGACATAACTGGGTAATTGTAACAATTCTCTTGTAATTGCTTTGACTGTGGAAAACAGGCATATCAGATTGCAGTCCCTCACATGACAGGCACACCAGCAAGATAACAAAAGACAGATTGACAAGAGAACAGCATAAAATTTCATTTAATATAAGTTTTATCATATTAAATAATATATTAGGTATTTATTAAAACTTTTTATATAATATATATTAAAACTTATTTTTATATAATAAAATTTATTACATACAAATAAAACTTATTATATAAAAATTTGTTTTAAATGATTGGACAAAAAGGTATGGTCTAATGGTAATAAACTGGGGGAACTTGGCAAACTTGTTAGTAAACTTGGAAAAGTAAACTATCTGGACCCATCGCAAACCTGTTGATTCAGAATCCCTGGGATGGGACCAAACAATCTAGCTTAAAAGTCCTCCAGGTGATTCTGATGTAAACCATTTGAGAAATACTGGCACATGGGAAACTTTTACTGTTTATCTAAAGGACAGGCAGACATGGAAATGCAGGGAATATGTCAAGTAAGAAAAATAAGCAGTGACGCATGTGCCCTGACTTTAAATGTATGTAGAACAACAACAGTTGTTCAACAGTCTCAAATTGAATGAGACTATTCAACTGGATCTATTCAGAAACATATGAACTGTCCCTTTCTGTTTCATTTCCGTGGGCTTATGTTAGTGTAGAAGCCTGAGTACATTTGCTGTGGGCAGACATGTAAATTCTTTAGCCCATGGGAAGCTGTAGAGAAGAAAGTAGGATTGAGTACTGCCTCCTGATCATCTCCCAGGACTGGATTACCAATAGCCAGTCTGTCTATGCCCATGTTCTGTCATGTGCCAAGCAGGGGCAGAAAAAAAATATATATATTTCTATCAATTCACATTATAATTATAATCAATTCACATTATAATATAAATATAAATATAAAGCCAAAATGTTCTTGGCCTTTGTAGGGGAGAAAAAACTTTTTCCTCTACCAACTTTTGTTATTTCAATAGGAGCCTGCAAATTAAACTGAAAAAAAGACATTAGTAAGAGAAAAGAGCTTATTTATGCGGACAATGTTCGCACATGTGGGAGTGTTCCGTGAAGAGTAACTGAAAAGTGTGGTTAGAATTTGGGGCTTATATACCTAACTTAGTAGGGGAAAGGAATGGGGGAGAAAGACATCTATGGGAAGGACAAATTGGTTCGTTTAGGAAAGACAAATGGGTTTTCAGGAGAACAAACAGAAGATAAGAAAGTTTGTGATAATACTTATGCAGGTATGAGTGGTCTTTCTGTCTTCTTCATGGCCATGAAACTGCACCTGAGACGGGTGATGAGATTTAAGACATGCTACTCCAAAATATGGCATCTTGATGTTTGAGAAAACAGCAGAAGCAGGGAAGTCTCACTCACTTTCCTCCTGCACTTCTTCCCAGAAACAAGTCATAAAACCTAGGAAGGATTCTCTGACCTTCCCTGGAAGCAGGTCATAAGACCCTCATTCTAGAGGTACCCACTGTATACCTGGAGGAAAAGGACATCCTTATCTCTGGAGACACAGGGACACAGAGAAGAATCTGAACAAATGACTTGCTATGTTTCTTCCAGTTTCTTACCATTAGATCATACCCTTTTATCCCCTCATAGCTCTCCGTGAATATCCACTTCTTTTTTTTTTTTTACTTTCTTTTTTTTTTCTTTTATTATTATTATACTTTAAGTTTTAGGGTACATGTGCACAATGTGCAGGTTAGTTACATGTGTATTCATGTGCCATGCTGGTGTGCTGCACCCATTCCTACTTCTTTACTATTTCCCTTTTCCTTAAATTTATTTCAGGAAATTAAAGTGTAGAATACTTGAGGGGAGAGTAAAGGATGAGTGAAATAAGAATTTAAAAAGACAAGAAAAAACATCCTAAGAAATATGCTAACAGTTATGTTTCCACTACAAGAAAAAAACCTACTAAGAGCATATATAGTGTAACTATTAAAATTCCATCTGCTTCAAGCTCTTTCAGTTCATTTCACAAGTCCTGAAGATTTGTCCTGACTTCTTTGGCTGCTGCTTTGATAAAATTAGCTGGCTTCTTTAGCACTATATTGAAGAGCACATAGTTTTACACCACTCAAACAAGCAGCTCATAATAAAAGAAAACTGAGCTTCCTTTGCATAGACACCCCGACCTTGTATCAGATCTTGGGCAACTGCCGGCTGGGGTGACCAGGGAATTCTTCTGGTAGCAAAACGTGGAGTCTGCACGTTGGACATGTCCCCTGTTGCATCAACCATGGTCTAATGCACTAAGGAGCAAAAAGATTTATGTCAGTCTCTCAGATGTAGCCTAGCAGAGGCAGTTGTCACTCTATGCATCAGGGTTACCAACCAACATGTCTTCTGGTGGATCTTTAAAGCCTTACGCTGTGGATCGTCAAACCAATTGCTGCAACCATGGCACCTTCCCTGTGGTTTGCTAAACAAAATAGGTGGTAACTGCACAATACCTTTTAGCCAGTTTATTCTACTAGAAATGCTTCCTTCAACCTCAATTTTCAAGATGACTAGCAATCCTTCCTGACAAGGAAATTGGAGAAACTTGCTATATTCTTTGGTTTACTATATACTGTTCTCATTTATAATCCAGAAAAAGTCATAACTAATGATACAAAAGTCACTAGTACCTGGTATGAAATGCTTATGGTGTTTGCAGTTAAAATCCCTAGATCATGAATACACTTCTCAGATTGTTTTCTTTGGCGATAATGACAGTAATTTTCGGCTATGAACTATCTGTTAAGTCACTTGCTTGAATGCTGACTCTCCAAAAACAAATCATTTTTACGTATATAAATAATGGAGGGCCAGGTCAGATGAGAGAGGATTAATAATAAGCACTATATATAATAGGCCCACTAACTATAGTCATAAAAAATGACCTGAATGAATTATATGCTTTCTACTTGTGGGCAATGGCAAAGAGTAGGATAAGTTTTGTTAAACATGTATTTCCTAAATTGTCAGAACCTTATAAACTTCAAAGGGGAAAGTCAATGGCTAAGGATCTTTCCTAGAAAACTTTTGGGATTAGGCATTTTGTGGATGTATCTTCATATTAGAGCAAATACAAAATATAATTCTGTACCAGGTACCACATATCATATCTTTGAAATGATGTCTTACAAACATGGCTTGACTGAACTGGCTATTATTTACTTCCCTGAAAAGCCTTTCTTTACTATGACTACCTTTTCCTGTGTCAAATTACATCTCTGCAACAGAGGACTTGGATCATTAATTATATACCAATAGCAACTGTGTGGCAGTAACACCAGAATTTAATCTATATAAATGCCAAGAATCAACAAAAGACATGCCAACCTCATATTTTTCTTTTTCTTTTTTTGAGATGGAGTCTCACTCTATCACCCAGGCTGGAGTGCAGGGGCCCGATCTCGGCTCACTGCAAGCACCACCTCCTGGGTTCACACCATTCTCCTGCCTCAGCCTCCTGAGTAGCTGGGACTACAGGCACCCGCCACCACGCCCGGCTAATTTTGTTTCTGTATTTTTAGTAGAGATGGGGTTTCACAGTGTTAGCCAGGATGGTCTCGATCTCCTGACCTCATGATCCACCCACCTCAGCCTCCTAAAGTGCTGGGATTACAGGTGTGAGCCACCATGCCTCACATTTTTCTAACATCAAAACTCAAGCCTGAGTATCTTTCAAAAGCAAATATAGAAGCCTGAAGAGACTGATAAATCTTATGCTTTATGAAAGGGGGCTGTCATTAATTATGGACAAAGGACACTATGTGGTATTTATAGCATGTCAATTTCAAGTGGTGCTGTTGCTAGTTCTGCCACTAAACTACCACGTCAATCGACATTTGTCCCAGTTCTATTCGAAGGAACTGCCTACTGTGTACCATCTGACTCTCAACATTGTCCCCTTCTTCTGTAGGGTGGATGGAGATCTGAGAGAGCACAATGCAATCCATGGCTATGTATGGGAAAAGCATAAATGTTTCTGTGTGGTACCCAAAAGCTCAGAGTTATATCCAGTGGAACTTGTGAGACAACAATGGATAATGATACATGTATATGATAATAAGTAAGGCAGTATGAATCTCATTTAGCTGATTAATGGGAAAATTTAAAGTGTTACCTGAGCATGGAATTTGTGAGCGCAAGGCAAAACTGAAAGATTTTCTGGAGACAGATTCTCATGACAGATCACACAAGGCTCTTCTTCTTCCTCTTCCTCATCCTAGGGAAAATACAGAAAATGTTAAATTTAGCTCATTGTTTTCTCCCAAATCTAAATGTGTTCAGAATCAAAAATTTCAGTCTCACTGGATTACTGGCTCCTTCCCATGTGGCAGGACCCTGTGAAGTGAGTGGCCTCCAGGCTGGTTTTGGGGGCTGGGCAGCATCAGGCTGTGATGGAGAATGACTAGGTGAAACACAATTAACATTTGACACTGATTTTCCTTGACTCTGAAAATAAGAACATAATGTTTATTTTTTCAGAATTATCCTAAAACAGTAAGAGCTGAAACATTAGTACAGAACGGGGTATAGTAAGAACTAGCAAAAGGGTAAATAATCAGATTTGTGAGAAATCTTGAACAAAATGGTGGCAATACTTATATACTCAGAGCTAGGTAAAAACAAAAATAACTCTATACATTCTTTTAATTAAAATAAATCTTTCAAGAAAATTAGAAAATCTCTCCCTCTTTAGACTCATTCAAAGAAACTAGAGCAAATTTCAAGGAGGTCAGTTTTATTCTAGAATGATTAGGTAACAGGTATTTCAAAAAGACTTCTGATATCATTTGTTAAGTTGAAGTTGTTATTTACTGTTAATAGATGATTTAATATGATTACAAGTTACTGATTTTCTGAACAGGTTATGGAGATATTTAAAACAGTTAACTACTAGAGTTAAGGGCAGAGAGATACAGGTTTTTTGGTTGTTTTTGCATTTTACCTGAGACTTTTTGGGGTCAATAAACTGGGAAATCTTGCAAACAATTTCATCAAATGTCAGTTCAGACAAGGATTTTCCATAAGCATCCTTCAATTTCCGTAAGAAATCTGTAAGTTCCTTTCTGCAAGAGATCAAGGAAAGGAAAGGGCAGTAATGATTTTCCTTAGTACCTTTGAGGATGTACCCACCAAAGGAGATATAAAATCCTATCGCATGATTGATATGTAGCATACAGACAGGACTCTTTAGGTCTTTGATCTAAAAAAGTGATCACAGGTCCATCTGCATTTATCTTAAACCAAAAGGAAAACTCCTAATTGTGTTCATTAATGATACTTAATGTTTTCATGAGTGATAAAGTTTAGTACTTATTTTCTTTCCAAAAAGAGACTTCGTTTTTGAGAGCTCACTAGGTGAAAATTAAGTTTATCCACTTATTTATGCATTGGGTTCTTTATACCATCTCTCAAGTGGTTTCTTGCTCAGGATAACATATTTATTTTTAACTATGTTGCTATTGGTTTCTCTCTTCTTTATCAGTGTTAATAGTTGTACTTTCGTAAAACTCAGAAAACAAAGATTAAACAGAACAGGAAAGCAAGGGTTAAAAATCACATTAATTATATAATGAAAGAACCCACAATTATTTTAATTGATATGTTCCTTTTTAATTCCCAAGATCCATTGATCCAAAGCCTGCATCTACAGTTTTGATGGGACAAAGTAGAATGAAATATTTTTGTTTCCCAAATGAAGTGTCATGTCATCAGCCTTATGCAACTACCTTTGATTTATAATGTTTTTATACATATTTATAACAACTGTACTAGAGTTCTATTTTATTATCTATTCACTATTATGAAATTTATAAAATTATAATTTAATAATGAAGTGTGCCAGTATATATATTAAATGTTTGTATTGAAATAAAAATACTTGTGAAAAGTAGAATTATTTCCTTAGATATGAGTTGAGATAAAAGAAACTTCATTTGTGTAGGAATATAATTAAATATCTTTCTACTAAAGGTAGACTGTGAAAAGCACAGTAAAGTTATGATTTCTTGCATTTTTAGTGTGTTCTCCAACAAAGAAACTATAAGGACCCTCAAAATTAAGGAAATTAGGAAATTAAATCCTAAAGATGTTTGGGCTTATATAGCATACAATCAACTTAAAATTCACTTTGGAGATAGGTTAAGATAATAATGGCAGTTAGTGCCATTAAAATTGGGTAAGTTTACATCTAGTTGTACTTTTAGTAAATGAGCATACCTAAATTTAAAGTTATTCTCTCATGATTTAAGACAAGTAACTTTTTAATGAAGAGGTTCACCATTGAACACTGTCTCTTCTTGGTAAATTTCTTTTTCCTTACCAAGGTCAAGGTAAGGAAACATCTGTACTTTTTTTGTGTTTGTTATGTTTCTCTGAAATGTTTCATTGCCACAATTATGGCTATGAAAACTGGAGAATATGATCTGTACCCACCAATAAATAAAAACTAAGGTACCTGGTTTGCTGTGGAAAGGCAGTTTTCAGCCTGTCTGTAATTCTCTCCCAATTCATGATGGAGGGATCACTCCGCAGACCTGCACTGGGAGGCACAGCGTCTCCCACAGGCGCTGGCAGAGCCCAGGCTATGCCAGTCATCTGTAAGAGGCAGAGAGCTATAGCCCAGCAGGTTTAATTATTAAGAAGTGACATTCCTATACCTCAGAAAATGGGTACAATGAAGAAGCGTACTGGCATACACATTCAATTTTTACAGTTTTTCTCTTAATATTTCTAATTGTTTGTAACTATTTTAAACTTATTTTAAAAATAGGACAAAGAAAAGGGTAGAATGAAGAAGAATACTGGCATACACAATCCCTTTTAGGGTTTTTCTCTTAACTAATACAAACAATATTTCTAACTGTTTATAAATATTTAAACTTATTTTTAAAATAGGACATGCTTGCTTCAGTAATTACATACATGTACAGCAAAACATGAAGGCTGTTTACTGCTGTTTCTCTTTTAACAGTGAAAACTGAAAAAACCTTACATCTATAGAGAAATGAATAAATTATGGCACATCTAATCAAGTTTTTAAAAATAGAACTGTATGTCTGGGCATAAGAGATATGCATGAAATATGATTTTTTAAAAAGTCTGTGGCACAGTATTTATGATACGACTTCCTTTTACATTAAAAAATTTTAAATGCATATGTATACACGGAGAAAGGTCTGTAAATTACAATGCGTAAGAAGTGATTATTTCTTAGGGATCAATTGCACAGTAACTTTGTTTTCTAATGTGCTTACATTTCTATATTATTCGCATTTTGTGATTAGCATATATACCTTTATAACGAGAAAGTAAAGTTACATTTTTCAAACAACCAAATAAAGATGGGAATACTACTAGAACTGCTCTGCCCAATGTCTCATCAATGTTGTAGACAAAAGTGGTGCAGAAGTTGTAGTGACATGCAGCCATGAAACCATCACTTTTCTCCATATTTTATGGTAGTTCCTTCTTAAGATTCTAATTAAATAATATAATAACAGAGTATTTTTGGAGTGCTCATCTGATTACTAAGATAATTATGACCACTTGCACCTTTTATGTAAGGCTCTAATGGGTTATTTTCAAATATTAGGTTATTATTCATGAAAAACTAGCAACTACTAACAGTCACTGTAATAATTTGTACAGAGCCTAAGAAGTGAGGGGAAGCAGAATATTTCCCAGAAATCTGAATTTGCTTCTATGTCAAGCTTTACCCCAGGAATCAGAAAGTAATCTTATTAGGAGATTAAGGTATTTTAATGTTTTTAATAAAATTTTATCATAGTTTCTTATAGAATGGTGGGCAAGCAAATTGCAAGAGTTAACACTGTAATATCATGGTAGTAAAAAGATGTGTTACTTATTTAACATATTAAGGACTATATACAGATTTGTTTATAGACAGGTAGCCTCGACAATAATAAGCAGAGTCCACCTGACCATGTATTTCAAAAGGAAACTGTTAGCAATATATGGGGAGCAGAAAAGAAAAGAAACAATTAATTGCACCTAATTATACTTATAGGAAAATCAAGATTAGAGAATTTTCATTAATTACATCTAACATCATTCTTTTGGAAGATTTTCCTTTAATAAAAAACCTTCACCAAGATTACAACTGATAATTCTGGTAATTTCAAATTTATATGTTCCTTCTTCAGGTTTGGATAAAGTTTATCTGGCTATTTGTAGCTGGGAAGATTTATAACTTTACAGTTTATGTTTCAAGGTGATGCTATTTATAGTCTGTTTATAGATACACTTGAAATACTGTCCTACTATGTGTGTGTACGTGTGTGGAAATAAAATTTTTCTTTAGCTTTGTGCCATAATATAGTTTGTTGTGACTTGGCTTCTTTGCTTTTCAATCTTCCCAACAACCATGCCAAAAAAATCTATTAAAAATGTCAATTTACCCTGCATTGTTGCCTATTTCAGAAGCAATACTATAATTTTAAGGATTCTCTAGTATAAAAACATATTTATCTTTGTATCCCAAAACGAAGCTAGTATCAGTTAAATAATATATGTAACACCCTGAGCACAGTGCTTCACAGGAAGTATTCATTCAATTATCACCACCACCCCCATCATTATCATATCAAATGAATGAACAAAATGAAGATACTCATTCAGGAAGCCCACTAGAGTAATAAAAAAACTAATTAACATCTATTCCACCAAGAAAGCTTTTACCAGGGGGGCTCTAGGTTGGCCAGTTGCAGAGACGACTCCCGGGCAAACTGCAGGCATTTGAGGAACAGTAAGTATGGGTCTAAAGAAAGATTCTTTCACAAGAGGTCTTCCTAAGAACTGCTGCATCTAAAATAGAAAATATAAACAATAATAAACAACACCCCCCCCCACATATTTATATATTTATTTAGGCAATCATCTAAATTCATACAGCAATATGGCGGGGGGAACACTCATTTGAACTCAAGATACAAAGCACATTAGAAACAATGTATGTCAGAAAATGAAACATATGAATATTGGAAAAACAAAGGGCAATGAGATATATTGAAAACAGCATTGACAAAGACAGAAAAGAAATAGCTTCTAGTCACATTTCTCTCTACGTAGCTGAATAACCTTGGAAACCAATTTCCTAATCTATAAAATGAGAGGGTTGGATAAGGTAATCATTAAGGTTCCCTCCCAACTGTAATCACATAGAACTATGCAAAGGAGATTCTCAGGAAGTGTTATCTATGTTGGTGGGCAATATTGATACTCAGAAATTTCACAGAACAACCCAAAGTTATCCATAGAAAATATTTTATATTGGAGGTAATACTTGATGAAATTTTGACTTAATGTTTAGCTCCAAGGAGAGCTGGAGGAGGAAGTGGGATGGGCCTGGGAGATAAACTCTGCTATAGTGATTTGCAGATATGCTTGTGGGTATTACCGTACTTCCCAGGGGGTTATGGAAATCTAGACCTTCTTAGCAGCTATCTGTGGAAAAGATACCTTGCTGGCTGGAGCAGAGAAGGGGGCAGATTTATTGGATATGTAGTACATGCCAGCCCTACTACTGGCATTAAGCATAAAGCAGGAGTTCAATAACAATTTGTTACTGAACTTAAAAAATGAGGAACAGCAACATAGCTCTAAGTAATGATCCTAAAAATATCATGTGAAAAATTAATGGGGAACTTTACAATGGATAGACTGGACTGGCATTTGAGTTTTAACATCTTAAAAGAACATTATGTGATTGCTAGGTAAGAAAAAGAGATTTTTTAAACAACTGGGAAACAAAAATTCTAACTGGATATTAAAAATTATAATTTTCTTAGGTAAGACAATGGTGTTATGATTATATCCAGTAAGAGTTCCTCATCTTTTAGGATATATCCTAAAGCATAAATGGATAAATTGGATGATATCTGGGGTTTGCTTTAAAATATTCCAGTGGAGAGGAAAAAGGGAATGACATAAAACAAGGCTGACAATATATTGATAATGCTGAGGCTGGCTCCTGGGTTTGAAGAGGTTGATTATACTATTTTTTACATATGTGTCAAATTTTTTACATGTAAAGTCTTAAAAAAATGAATGAATGGTGGGTACTGAGTCAACAGTCCTGCTCTGTTTGAGAACCACTATTACCTAACACTTTATTTTTATTTTCAATGGACACATAATTGTACATTTTTATGGGGTACAATGTGAGGTTTTCATACATGTATACATGTATGGTGTAACGATCAAAGGGTAATTGGCATATTCATCACTTCATTTGTCATTTCTTTGTGGTTCTAATATTCAAAATCCTCTCTTCTAGCCATTTTGAGATATATAATACCTTACTGTTAACTATAATCATCTTACTAATAGAACGCCAGAACTTATCCTTCCTTTCTAATTGTACCCATTGACCAACCAACCTCTCCCTGTGCTTGCCTTCCATCTATCCTCCCTAGTCTCTGGTAACCACTGTTTTTTCATTAATTTTATGAGACCAACTGTTTTAGATTCCACATGCGTGGGATCAGGTAGTATTTGTCTTTCTGTGTCTGGCTTATTTAACTTAACATAACGTCCTCCAGGGTCATCCATGTTGTCACAAATGACAGGATTTCATTCTTTTTTATGACTAAGTAGTATTTCATTGTGTATATATACATTTTCTTTATCCAACCTTTATGGACACTTATGTAGATGACATATCTTAGCAATGGTAAATAATACTGCAGTGAACATAGGAGTGCAGGTGTCTCTTCAGGATACTTGACTTCATGTCCTTTCCCACTATACCTAGTAGTAGGATTGTTGGAGCATATGGTAGTTGTATTTTTAATTTTTTGAGGAACCTCGATACTGTATTCCATAATAGCTGCGCTAATTTACATTCCCACCAACAGTGTGTAAGGGTTCCCTTTTCTCCACATCATCGCCAACATTTGATATCATTTGTTTTTTGATAATAGCTGTTCTTTTTTTTTCTAATTATTATACTTTAAGTTCTGGGATACATGTACAGAATGTACAGGTTTGTTTCATAGGTATACATGTGCCATGGTGGTTTGCTGCACCCATCAACCCGTCATCTACATTAGGTATTTCTCCTAATGCTATCCCTCCCCAGCCCCCACCCCCCGACAGGCCCCAGTGTGTGATGTTCCCCTCCCTGTGTCCATGTGTTCTCATTGTTCAACTCCCACTTATGAGTGAGAACATGCAGTGTTTGGTTTTCTATTCCTGTGTTAGTTTGCTGAGAGTGGTGACTTCTAACTTCATCCATGTCCCTGCAAAGGATATGAACACATCCTTTTTTATGGCGGCAGAGTATTCCATGGTGTATATTTGCCACATTTTCTTTATCCAGTTTATCACTGATGGGCATTTGGGTTGGTTTCAAGTCTTTGCTACTGTGAACAGGGCTGCAATAAACATATGTGTGCATGTGTCTTTATAGTAGAATGATTTACAATCCTTTGGGTATATATCTAGTAATGGGATTGCTGAGTCAAATGGTATTTCTGGTTCTAGACCCTTGAGGAATCGTCACACTGTCTTCCACAATGGTTGAACTAATTTACACTCCCACCAACAGTGTAAAAGTGTTCCTATTTCTCCATATCCTCTCTAGTATCTGTTGTTTCCTGACTTTTTAATGACTGCCATTCTAACTGGCGTGAGATGGTATCTCATTGTGGTTCTGATTTGCATTTCTCTAATAACCAGTGATGATGAGCTTTTTTTCATATGTTTGTTGGCCACATAAATGTCTTCTTTTGAGAAGTGTCTGTTCATATCCTTTGCCCACTTTTTGATGGGGTTGTTTTTTTCCTGTAAATTTGTTTAAGTTCTTTGTAGATTCTAGATATAAGCCCTTTGTCAGACGGATAAGATTGCAAAAATTTTCTCCTATTCTGTAGGTTGCCTGTTCACTCTGATGCTGTGCAGAAGCTCTTTAGTTAGATCCCATTTGTCAGTTTTGGCTTTTGTTGCCATTGCTTTTGGTGTTTTAGTCATGAAGTCTTTGCCCATGCCTATGTCCTGAATGGTGTTGCCTAGGTTTTCTTCTAGGGGTTTTAGGGTTTTAGGTCTTACATTTAAGTCTTTAATCCATCTTGAGTTGATTTTTGTATAAGGTGTAAGGAAGGGTTCCAGTTTTTGCTGCAAATGGCTAGCCAGTTTTCCCAACACCATTCATTAAATAGGGAATCTTTTCCCCATTGCTTGTTGTTGTCAGGTTTGTCAAAGATCAGATGGTTGTAAATGTGTGGCGTTATTTCTGAGGCTTCTGTTCTGTTCCATTGGTCTATATATCTGTTTTGGTACCAGTAGCTATTCTAACTAAAGAGAGGTGATACCTTGTAATTTTGGTTTGCATTTCCTTGAATTCTTCTTATCCATGAATATGATGTATTTTTCCATTTCTTTGTGTCCTCAATTTCTTTCACCAATGTTTGATAGTTTTCAGTGTAGTGATCTTTCTCCTCCTTGGTTAAATTTATTCCCAGGTATCTTTGTTTTTTGTAGCTATTGTAAATGGGATTTTCTTAATTTCTTTTTCAGACTGTTCACTATTAGTAAACAGAAATGCTATTGATTCTTGTATGTTGATTTTGAATCCTGAATCTTTACCAAATTTGTTAGTTTTAGGAGTTTTTAAGTGGAGTCTTTGCGATTTTCTATATATAAGATCATTTGTCTACAAAAAGGGACAGTCTGACTCCCTTCTTTCCAATTTGGATGTCTTTTATTCCCTTCCCTTGCCTAACTGCTCTGGCTAGGACCTCTAGTACTATTTTTAATAGAAATAGTGAAAGTGGGCATCCTTGTCTTGTTTCAGATCTCAGAGGAAACACTTCTAACTTTTTCCCATTTAGTATAATGTTAGCTGTGGGTTTGTCATATATGGCCTTTATTGTGTTGAGGTATGTACCTCCTATACCTAATTTTTTGAGAATTTTTATCATAAACTGACGTTGAATTTTGTCAAATGCTTTTTCTGCATCTATTGAAATGATCATATGGTTTTTGTCCTTCTTTCTGTTGATATGATGTATCATATTTACTGATTTGTGTATTTTAAATAACCATTGCATGATCTTTTTAATGGTACTAACACTTCTCTGAGGATTAAATAGCCAAGCTACAAAAATCAAGATACAATGAAACACATAGAATTACTGGGTTAAACTGGGAACAATCCACACTTTCATAGAAGTCTCTACTATGGAAGTCTGGTGACCACTCCTTAGAACACTAGTATCCCAGAAATAGATGGGACTTGAGTGATCAGATCATCCAGTACAATTTCCTAATTCACTGATGGGAAATCAAAAGTCCAGAAGAGCTGATTTTTCCCAAGATCAACATAGCTCTTCACAAAGTTAGGATCTGAACCCAGACCTCATTAGTGTACTTCCATTGTAGGTACCATCTCAATTTACAGCAAATAGCACTGTAACGTTTCTAGGTGCTCTTCTCCCAAACTCTCTCCTCTGATGCTCAGTGGTCACCAATGCTTGTACTTTAACACAACTGTTAGCTTAATCAAGCACAGCAGTGACCCTAATTAGGAAGCACAAAAGATACAGGTGAACCCCTCAGAATGTTAGCAAAGGATGCTTATAAATTACCACACAGCCTAACTGCCAGTAGGTTTTTGTACTTAACTAAACCCGGGTAAGACATGTCAGACATAAGAAAGTCTCCAAAGGGATAAAAGGATCTGGAGGGTCTGGAGGTCAAGGTTTGACTATGTTTGTCAGCTAAAGAATATCACTTGTATCAGACAGCCAAGGCTTATACTGGTCTGGTTCCAGGAAACTCCAAACAACAGCTTCACAGTCTCTGGACCCATTTTATAGTTAAGAGCCATTGAAGAATTTAACTACAATCTAAGGACAGTATTTTGAATGTGGGCAGAAGGTACAGTGTTTTTAGACATCCCACAAAAAAATATGTGTTACTGCAGGGAATCTTTGGAATTTCTCTGGAACACATTCCTTATCAGAGTAGTTGGGTATGATGATGATCCAAGCCTAGAATAATAATGCTCATAATCCAGTGTTCCTATAGAAACTGAATTGACCAAAAATATAAAAGGCAAAACTATCATTCTAAACTAAAGCCCATGATGTATATCCCATAATTCTTTTAGCTATAGATCCTGCTTTTGAAACAGTGTAACTCCATACAAATTATATAATTTTTAAATTCTTTGTTATACTCAACCATGAGGAGAAATAACATTTTCAGGTTTCTATTATAAGCAGGAGTGGTGATATCAAAGTCATCTGTCCCCACATAACTTACACTTTTCCTCTCTTCCTACTGCCAGATCTCTTAAGATAATAAAAATTGTCATCCAATGACACCCTCTTAAAAGGTCTTTTGGAAAGCTGTGTGAATTTACTGGGTTAGGGTGCTATGTTTCCCAGACATACAGGACAGGGATTAGTTTATCTGATTAAGATCCACTGGCCCCTAACAACAAGCAGAGAAGGGGCAGAAGTGGAAGCTGTCCTTGCTGTTGGAGGTAGAATAGAATATAAAACTTCACAAAAAGAAAGTCTAAAGTAGAAATGCAGAGGTGAGGTCCAGCCATGCAGGGTATTACATTGAGATGTTTCAGTCATTTCGTGCAGCGGTCCCCAATCTTTTCGGCACCAGGGACTGGTTTCATGGAAGATAATTTTTTCAAGAACTGGGGAGTGGAGATGGTTTTGGGAGAATTCAAGCACATTACATTTATTGTGCACTTTATTTCTAGTATTATTACATTGTAATATATAATAAAATAATCATATAACTCACTATAATGTAGAATTAGTGGGAGCCCCAAGCTTGTTTTTCTGCAACTAGATAGTCCCATCTGGGGGTGATGGGAGACAGTGACAGATCACCAGGCATTAGATTCTCACAAGGAGCACATAACCTAGATCCTTCACATGCACAGTTCACAATATGGTTCACACTCCTGTGAGAATCTAGTGCTGCAGCTGATTTGACAGGATGCAGAGCTCAGGTGGTAATGTGAGCAATGGGGAGCAGCTGTACATACAGATAAAGTTTTGCTTCTTCACCCACTGCTCACCTCCTGCTGTGCACTGGTCCGTGGCCCAGAGGTTGGGGACCTCTGATCTAGTGGTAACATGAGGACACTGGGAAGTCTGAGTATTCATTATTTAGCTCCCACAAGGTAGGTGAAATAGGGTGAATGAGAAAATATTACTCTATGTATATCAAATGCTTCACTAAAATCCAGTGATACAACCTATTGTATAGGCCTCACCCATCTAATTATATCATCTGGTGACTCGAAGGTATGGTCATAATTACAAGTGATACTCACAATATGTGCCTATTCCATTTTGAACACACGTTAAACATACTGCATATTCAGTGTTTCACAGCCCTTACCATTTTGTCAAAATGAAAAGGGCAATTATTCAAAATGTTGTATTTCTTACCAGTATCTCAGGACTGGGTGGTGGAGGAGGAAGCTGGACTGGAGGCAAGGTACTCAAGGCAAATCCTTGCTTGACTTTGTTTATTTGTTCATTGTACTGTGTCTGGTAGAAGAAGACTAAAAATACTTTAGAGAACAACCAACTTTAAAGAGACAGCATATGGGAATATCTGATGTAGTTTTGAATAATACAACATACAAGAGTGGTTGCCAACCTGTCAGAAATAATATAAAAACAGGTTCTGACCAAAAAAAAAAAAAAATTCTATAGACCATCCCCACATGTAAACAGTTGTATTTTTAGGAGTCGTTATTGGTTAATAAGAAACAGAGACACAGATAATTCACAGATTCTTGTGATAATTCCTCAGTGCTTCCAAAATTTTCAGCTCTAAAATAGGAACCACTGATACAAATAAAAAAAGAGACTAAAGATTCAAGAAGCTATAAATATTATACTGGCTAAAAAACAGGAAAAAATATATTTGTAACAAGCAGTTAAACTACTTGCAAATGTTCATTTTAAAAACGGAAGGAAAAATTTTAGAGATTACTTATGAAATTCTACATTGTGTTTATCTCACAATCTGTAACTCTAGCTTGTTCTAGCTCCATACACATTTTATTCTCTTGGATTCTGACAAAAACTCCAACCTGGAAGTTTAACAACACATTTTCAACATTTTTTGGCATTGTCCCCACTTTTGCTTACCATATTATTTTGTAAAGAACGCGTAGGAACTGGGAAGGAAAGTCTTATAAAACAAAACATTTAGAAACTTCTGCATGGAGGACATGTGCTTGGAAGAAAACATGGGGCAGGTCTTTTGAGGCAAAAATTTTGAATAAACCCAACAGAAACGCTAAGCATCACTAAAGACTGAGTAAGAAAGAGTTTGGAGAGAAACAGTGAAAACCCCCAAGGGAGTTGGACAAATATCCAGTTGCTTTTGGCACTTCACAACTGAATGACAATGCTTTTTTTTTTGCTGATAGTGTTGTGAAATCACAAAAAAATCAACATTATCTATCAACCTTAGTATATAAATATAAAAAGATTCTAAAACAAAATCAATTAATAAATATTCAGTGGATTATGTCTTTAGATTACCTGTAGCATGGTCCTACACCAGTACTTAAGAATTTACTATTTTGCATTATGGAATAATTACATAAAAAGTTAGATTGAAAACAAATACAGGCCTACTTGATTTTCTTTTTTATTCTGTAAACACATTATTACTCAGACCGCATTAAAACATTTAGTTTTTATTCCAAATTTTGTTTTAGAGAGAGTCTCACTCTATTGTCCAGGCTGTAGTACAGTGGCATGATCATAACTCACCATAACCGTGAGCACCTGGCTCAAGTGATCCTCTCGCCTTGGCTCCCAAAATGCTGGGATTATAGGCATGAGCCACTATGCCTGGCCAAAACATTTAGTTTTGATTGGGGCACTGTTAGCTTTGAAATTCTAGGAAAGCTAGGTGTGAGGGCACAATTTTTGAGTTTATTTTCTTGACTAAGGATATAAAAGACTACACGTGTGAGTCTAGGATGTTATCTACAACCAACCACATGGAAGTAATCTCAAAGTGAAGGCATAAACTTTTATAACTAAAATGGAAAATATGTTCTTCCTTAAATTTTTCTACTAATATGTCTTCTAACTTTACACCACCTATAACATTAAGCCAATTTTCTCCAAATATACTTCAGGACTTACCCTGAGGAATGCAATCTTGTTTCTAACATCTGCCACAATGGCATTCCAACTGTCTACCGCAGCCTTTAATTGAAGTGATTCTAGGTTGCTGTTGTAGAAAAGGAGACACAAAAGAAAACTCTTTCTTTTTATAACACTTAGGTTTCCAAACATGTCTATCACGCTTTCTAGCATATATGTCAACAAAAAACAAAATTACCCCCATCACCAACAATTACTTCAAATGGACATAAAGAGGTATGGACAGGTTTGTTACTAAAAATAACAAAAACAGTAATAAAAAATTCATTTTTCACAAGCAAATAAAATTGATGCTTCCAGAACAAGTTTTTTCTATCTTGATGATGTCTTTTTAGTATATATTATAAAACCTTTGTAAGGAATCTTTCCAATGAAGCAGGAAAGCCTTAGTAATCTAATACAGCAGTGTTCTCTAAAATGTTGACCCATGTTGGAAGCAAGTTTTGGACTATCTTCACATTAACTCTGACATCAAAAAGCCATGGTTGGCCTATATGGCTCCTTTGCAAATTAGAAAAAGATACTGTCTCTGGGAGGATAAATTAGAAATATCTTCTATTTGAGTACGAATGAGGTTGCTGCCTTTATATAGTACATAAATTGCACAAACAATAGTTTTATCAACTCATGCCTACCAAATGACTTAACAAAAGTAGGAACAACTTTGAAGTTGTTAGGGTCTATTATCTCTAGAAAAGAGATTTCATATGGCCTTTTAAAAGGTTCTATCCATTATAACATCCCACGCCAGTATCACCCAGCCCAACAATTTTATAAGAGCTGAACAAGTTATCACTAACATAATCTCATACAAAGAAGTTCCATAATATCCTAATGTATAGAGCACTCTTTCTTCTTCTAGCAAGCAAAAATAGACTGATCATTTACAACAGTACTTCCCTGACTTGAGTGCACATCAGTATATCCTGATAATCTAGCTAACATCAAAGACTCTGATTCTTTAGAATGAAAGAACAATGCTGATTATTAAAATAATAATCATTTAAAAATAATGATGCCTGGGTCCCAGAGATTCTAATTTAATTAATTCTTTAAGTTTGGTGTACCCCATGAGATTATAAATTTAAGGAGAATTTCATGCAACCTGTTCAATATTTGAAAATTACTCTATAATTACTATAAAAGCACAGCAGAAAACTACCTTTAACATACGATTTAGGTGTTAATACTGATGTTTCCCTCAACATATTCTGTAGGTGTTTAAAATCATTACAAAGGAAAACAATTAGAAAAAAAGTCTTCCAATTAGAATCCACCTTGTTTCATAAGTATCTGGTGTTCACGTATGTCTCTGAGACTTTTGATCTACTTCACTACAGAGGAAGGGAAAAAATCTTTCAGCAGCTATTATTGTACATAGTACTCATTAGACTTCTCAGTGCTTCAGCAGAAGCAGCCAAGTACAAGCATCAAAGTAACTAAATGACTTTTGAGGTTTAAACAACAACAACAAAAACAACAACAACAAGAGCTTCTGGTAAAAGGAATTTCAGGGGGAAAAAAATGAAAAAAAACCCAAAAAAACCACAAGAGCTTCTTTAAGAACTCTGATGTCACATATGTAAAACACATCACAGATTATATTCAACCGTGGAGACACTTGCTAACATCTCTAAAATTAAGATGCATTAAGGAAGAGGGAAAGGTTACCTTGCTGCCATGTGAGTCACCCTGGCAAGCTGATTGAGACATTCCTTTTCAGTCTGCTCTAGATGAAGCAAACCAAAATCCCTACGACACTGTAAGAAATACACCTACAGGTTTTTGAGAGAAAGAGAAAGAAGTTGAAGGTGTGCTTGTAAAGGAACATTCTCTTCTCAATCATCTCAAGTAAATTTAAAGCTATTTCTCAATTTCTTCCAATAGCATCTAGGTTCCTTGACCATTCAAGATACATTACAAAAGCTTTTAAATCAATGCCACCTCTGCAATTCTAATTTCCTTATTTAATGGTTACTAGGTTGGTAAACATTCCAGATCATGTCTTTTCAAATTTGTAATCATACTGGAATCGTCTCAGAAACTTTCAAAAATGGTGCCTTGGTCCCAGATATTCTAATTTGATTGATACTGAGTATAGCTTGGGCATTGGCATTTTTAAAAGCTCTCTGATAATTCTAACATGCAGTAAAGTTTGAGAACACTCCTGCTATCTATTCTTTTGTCATTGATGAAGAGGTAATAATAAGACCATACAGAAAGACAGAAACGGGCTTGGGAGATTACGTAGTTCAGTGTCTCTCTCGCAGCAGGAATCCTTTCCATATCACTACTTGCAGTAATTTAGCCTCTGTTTTTTACTACTAAACACTCAGTATTCACTAAAATACACTGTTGGACAGCATTAAGTATTAAAAAGTTCTTTCTAAAATTAATAATAGAAGCACAAAGAAATTTACTGATTAAAAACAATAAAAAACACTCTATACAAACGAGCTTTTAAAGTAATCTGAACTGTTTCTTTTGTTAAAGCTAGTACCCCAACAGTATTCTTCACGAATTTTTGGTTCAGATACTACTTCTTGGTTGCTGACTTCCAGGATCCCAAGTACTCTGCTAGAGAACAGAGCTTACCCATGACAGAGGTGTAAGGTTTGTAGTGCTTTTAATGTCAGTGATCTCTCCAAAAATGTGAATCTTACTGTATATCAAGTTTTGTTATGTATAAATAAAAATTACATACACACATACAATCATATTTCTTTTGAGAGACCCTAGCTGTGGTGTTCTAACTTAGAAAAAGCTGGCAGTCTGAAAAGCTGGTTTTTTACATTCAGGTGTATGATGTGTAAGTATTTTTGTAAGATATATATTGGAAGTAGCAAAGAAGATATTGTGGCAGCAGTAAAATGCTATTATTAGAAGTTTGGCTTAGTGACTTGGCTTCATGAGAATTTCCCCAAGATGTCTGTATTTGCTATACATACTGTAACAGACCAATTTCTTCAAGTCATTGGCAGAAAACAACATAAGAACATCAAAACTGAAGTATTCACACATGATTTGCCAATGAGTCAAAAAAGCACAAGACTTTCAACTGTATTTTCCTGGCTGATCCTAAGATGTCTTATTTCTGTTTATACAAAAAACAATCTTTTACAAATTCTTTAGTATGATGGTATACAAGTAAAACTTTTCCCCTCACCCCATACCCCTGTCCCCGTTTTGTTGTTACCTCGGCTGTTAAAGCTCTGCTAGTTTCTGCGTTCAGTTTGCTTACGTATGTTTTCATTGTGCTTTCCAGATTATGTTTTTCCATTTCCCACTGAGATCTGAAATACATGATCATTAAAGACTCGCAATATTACATCAAGCAGAGCCTTTTTCATCTAATTCAGGAGGAAGAAAGATAAGTTATACAATCAGTAGGAAATTATTTCTTGGAAAAGTATAGAGCACATAGAAACAAGAGAAGATACATTGTTCAATCCCTACTGTTATCCTTTACTATCAAGAGTATAGAAGTTTTATCAGGGTGTAGGCTATGATTTAAAACTTAGCTGTGAAATCAAGTTGTCTGAGGATGAATCTTAGCTCCACAACTTATTAACTGTAAAACCCCTGGGCAAGTGCAATGAACTGAATGTTTGTGTTCCCCCAAAACTCATATGTTGAAATCTTAACCCCCGAAGTGATGGTATTAGGAGGTGGTGCCTTTGGAAGATGATCAGTCATAAGGGCGGAACTCCAATGAATGGAATTAATGCCCATTTGAAAAAGGCCTGAGAGAGCTTCCTTGCCTGCCTTCTGCTATGTGAAGTTATAGTGGGAAGACGGCTGTCTATGAGGAAGAGGATCCTCACCAGATACCAAATAGGCTGCTACCTTGATCTTGGACTTCCCAGCTTCCAGAACTGTGAGAGATACAATTCTATTTTTATAAGCCACCCAATCAATGGTATTTTGACAGAGCAGTTCAACCTAAGACAGCAAGCTATTTAATTTCTCTATACCTCAGTTTCCTCACATGTAAAAATGAGGAAAATGGAAAAAACGGTACTACTTACCTCAAAGAGCTGCTGTGAAAATTAATTCAGATAATATAAAGCACTTTGTGTTTGGCACATAATAAGCACTAATAAATAAATGTTAGCTAGTATCATGATTAATAAGTTCTACATAAAATTTCTATAAGCTTTTTTGTATCCCAATGATAGCAACCACATAGGTTTTTATTATCCCCGTCATTACGTGAAGTTACTGCATTAAAATATTTGACTGGTTATTTCAGTGCTTACATTCAACATTTTTGAATGAAAGCAAACCCTACAGTTTGAGAGGGAAGGAGGAAGATGATGGTAAATACATTGTTTATGAAGGACATTAGGTAAATGGTTACCTATGAGGTTCCTTTTTTAATCTATCCCATCTCAGCTTCCTACACTTGAGTCCCAGAATTCTATAAGCATACAAACCAAATTCTAAATTTAATGAAAACAATTAATTGAAAATACGGCATTATAATAGAGACTGTCACAAAGGCAGTCCTCGATGTTTTATTATCAGAAACACTTGGATACTTGAGGACCTAACAAACATTGATGAGAAACTTGATAACAGTACATTATAAATATCATTAAGGCTAGACTTTTTTGAGGAGAAAAAAATAAAATCTTCAAGCAGATATATTAACACAAAAGGAATTAATTATTATACCATTAAATATTATGTAAAAGTTGCCTAAAAGAAAAAAATTACAAATCGGACTTCATCAAATTAAGTTTTGTGCTTTAAATGACATTAAGAAAATGAAAAGGCAACCCAAAGAATGAGAGTATTTGAAAATCATGTATCCGATAAGGGACTTGTATCTGATAAGGGACAAGAACTCTTAAAACTCAACAATAAAAAGACAATCTAATTTTTAAAATGGGCAAAGGATTTGAATAGACATTTCTCCAAGAAGATAAATAACTGGCCAATAAGCACATGAAAAGATGCTCAACATAATTAATCAGTGGGAAAATGCAAATCAAAACCACATTTATATACTACTTCACACATAATACAATGGGTAAAATAAAGACGTAATCTAACAAGTGTAACAAATGTTGATCAGAATGTGGAGAAATTGAAACCCTCATACACTGTTTATAGGATTATAAAATGGTGCAGCTACTTGGAAAACAGTTTGGCAATTCCTCAAAAAGTTAAACATAAAGTTGACTGATCACCAAGCAATTCTACTCCTTGGTACATACCCAAGAAATACAAAAACATGTCCACAAATCTGTATATAAATATTGATAACAGTATTCATAATAGCCAAACAATGGAAACAAGCCAAATGTCCATCAACTGATGAAAAATAAAATAAGGTATAGCCAAGGAATGGAATATTATTTATCCATAAAAAGGTATGAGTAATGATACATGCTACAACATGAATGAATTTTGAAACTATGTTAAGTGAAAAATGTTACTCACAAGAGGCTACATATTATATGATCCAATTTATATGAAATGTCCAAAAGAGGCAAATCCATACAGACAGAAAATAAATTAGCAGTTGCCAGAAGCTAGAGGAGGGGAGAATAGGGAATGACATCTAATGGGTTTCTTTTTTGGAGTGATAAAAATGTTCTGGAAATAGATAGTGGTGATGACTGTAAACCTCTGTGAATATTCTAAATCAATAAATTGTATATTTTAACAGAGATAATTTTATGCTGTATGAAATGGATTTCAAAAAGGTGTTATTAAAAAAATTTCCCACAGGCAAAACAGATGAATAAGAATAAAACTTGGCCAGTTTCATAAAGCAGTCACATCTAATAGTACTGACTGGGGTAACTCTTAAGGTCTAATCTCTGGCAGTAGTTTGCTCTGGGACTGTAACTTTGCTGATACAGATTCTTCTAGCAGTTTTCTAGAGTCAGAGCTAAAGTGACCATACCTCCCTATTTGCCTAAGATACTCCCAGTTTACACCTTTTGTCCCAGTGTATTATTAGTACTGTTCAATATCAGCCTCAAAAGTACCCCGGTTTGAATGATAAATTACATCAATATGCCAGCCAGAAAGTGTTGAGTGAAATACAGTTTCAGAGAGAGTGCACCCAAAGAAAAAGCTAAGTTTGTACCTTTTCATAGAAAGTTGCTCTTTAAGGTTCTTGATTTCATTATCTTTAGCATGGATTTGACGCTGTAATCTAAGCAAACAAGCAAGAAAGTCAAAAGATGTTAGAAATTATTTCTCATTAACACAGTCAGAAGAGCTCTAACTACAGCTGTGGAGGAGATAAAGTATGTCCATTTGGGGCCACAAATCTTGAGCCTGAATACAACTGAACTCCTATACCTGGTCCTTTTGAAATGTATCTTGTTTCTGATGTCTGATTTACTGACTTCCCAAAGAAAGGGGAACTAAGTTCTAATTCAGTAAATTAGAAAGCAAAAGAGAAGTGTTATCTTGCATCTCAGTGCAATGACTTGGAAAAATGTCTCTAGCTCTTCATGCTTCAGCTTACCTACTAGAAAACAGAGATGGTATCTTCTGATTTTCTAAGCCTGTTGTGAGATTGAGAACTTTAAGTTCCTTAAAGTGGTATTATATCAAGTCATGCAAATTATGAAAGATTTAAGGTCTAAAGGAAATCAAACCTTAAATATTGAAGTGATGAGGCTGTGTACAAATGCAAATTTTAATTAAAACTATGAATTATCACCTGGGGGTCACTCACATGATCTTATCATGGAAAGAATGGGTAAAAATTTTGTATAAATCAGAATCTATAGCCTGTGATCAGCTTCAAAATTAATATGTAAGAAACTAAGAGAAACGCATATACTTTTTGGTTGACATATATTCACATACCAGATTTCTGATGTTCCTCCCTTATGCTGCTGTATTTCTTTTCACAAGCAAGCTTTTACATAAACCTAGTAATTAACTTCAATATGAAAAGATTTATAATAAAAGCACATTTCTCTTTAAGTCTCTAATATGTTGAAATTCTTGGGATAAATGGAAGAGTTTTGGTTGGAATAATACATCTTTGAAATGACGACTTTAATGTTGGATGGATTGCTCACTACCAGATTTCAGAGACTACCCATTCACCTTTATTCTAAGCTTCTTAGAAGACTTAGAGACTTATAGTTAATGTTTTGTTGGTCTGAGAATGCAGTGAAAAGAAACCAGGTCTCTTTCTGTACAAAAGAGGTCATGTTCTCAAGTGAAATATTAAGAAATACAAGCTTCATTACTGTAATATATAGGAATATGTTGACAGAGTTGAAAAGCAGTAAAATTTGTAAGACTGCCATCTTGTTTTCCTTTGTATACTTCCATTACTTCAATATTTTACCCAGCTCTAGTTTAGAGTGGGCAATAAGAGTAGACATAACTAGTGGGGAATTCAGAACACCTAGACTCTTAAACAACAGAGGATAAGGTAGGCATAGTTCTTATTATCCAGCTCAGATAAGAGTCAGCTACGTATGTTCAGGCAGTCTTAACTTCTCAGTCTTTTTCTCATGTTTAATATAACAGAATGAAATTACTAGATTTTCTTTCTAAAAAATCTAAAGTTCTCAAGTTAACTCTAGCTGACTATCAAGTTTTATTATAGACTGTTGACAGCAGTTTCTTGACATATTACTAACTGCTTATTGTAGTTTATCCAAAGTTAAGTCACTTCCATAAAATCTTCTTTGTTAACACTTCAACTGTCATCAACAAATATTTGCCAAACATTTACTGCACATACCAAATTGAATTAGGCCAAAAAACCACACCATTTTTGCTTTCTAATCTCCATATTCTAAGATGAAAGAAGCCAACATTTACAATTAAAGAATATTTATATTTTATCACATACTCTTGGGCAATGTTCAGATGAATTAAACGAAGAAAACGTTCAAAAGCTTATATGAGAACACAGAGTAGTCATTATGTCCATTCTGCCTTGATGCCCTGTCTTTTCTTCCATCTCATCCCACCTAACCTTCAATGCCTAGGTTCAGTACTATGTCTTTAACAAAGTTCTTCATTGAAGGAAGTTCCTTATCACAACAATCAAAAAAATATTCTCTCTACCCTACAAAATTTCCACTAAGTATACTCTTGTTTGACAGTTTTTCATTATGTACTTTTTAAAATAGTTAAACTTTTTATTTCAAGATAATTGTAAATTCATATGCGTGTATAAGAAATAATACACAAAGAACCCATGTATCCTTTCCCCAATTTCTCCCCATGGTAACATCTTGCAAAACTACTGTATAATACCATAACCAGAATATTGATGGTAATACAGTCAAGATACTGAACTGTTCTATCACCACAGGGATCCTTCATTTTGCCCTTTTAAAGCCACAACCACTTCCCTTCCACTCTCATCCCCTTCTTATAACCTTGGAACCACTAATCTGTTTTCCATTTTTATAATTTTGTCATTTCAAGAATGTTCAGCAAATGGAAACATATATAAGCTTTTGGAACTGGCTTTTTTCAATCAGCATAATCTTCTGATGTCTGCAGTGTTTGTAGTATTTGCAGTGATACATATCACTGTTTCATTCCGGATGGTAGTAATTTATGTCTTTTATATTGTCAGTCTTGCTAGAGGTTTGTCAATTTTATTGACCTTTTCAAAGACACAGCTTTTTGTTTCATGGATTTTCTCTACTATTTTTCTTTTTCCAACTCATTCTTTCTCAGTTTCTTTTTTTTTTGAAATGGAGCCTTGCTATGTTGCCCATGCTGAACTGTAACTCCTGGGTTCAAGCAATCCTCCCATCTCAGCCTCTCAAGTAGCTGGGACTACAGGTGTGCACCACTGCATCCTGCTCCCATTATTTCTAATCTTTATAACTTATTTCCTCCTGCTTGCTTTGAGTCTATTTTGATTTTCTTTTTCTGGGATCTTGAAGTGAGAGCTTGGATTATCCACTGAAGACTTTTCTCTTTTTCTAATGTGTGTATTTAGTGTTATAATCTCAGCACTGCCTCAGCTATGTGGCACAAATTTTGACATATTGTATTTTCATGTAAATTCAATGTATTTTCTCTTGAGAGCTCTTCTTTGACCCATGGATTATTTAGACATGGGTTGCATAGTTTCCAGGCCTTTGGAGGTTTCTTGGTATCTCTCCGTTACTGATGTTTAATTTGACTCCATTGTGACCTGAGAACATGCTTTGTATGATTTCAACTCTTAAATTTGTTGTTGAGGTTTGTTTTATGGCCCAGGTTATTGTCTATCTTGGTAGATACATCCTGTGGTCACTTGAAAGCATGTGTATTCTACTGTTGTCGGGTGGGGTGTTCTATAAATATCAGTTAGGTCCTGCTGGTTGATGGTGGTTATTGAGGTCTTCTATATCCTTGCTGATTTTCTGTTTAGTAGTACTATAAATTGAGAGTGGAGTTTGAAGTGTTCAATTATAATGGTAAACTTTTCCATTTCTCCTTTCAGCTCTATCAGGTTTTACTTCATGTGTTTTGAGGCTGTTTTTGGTACATATACCTTGAGGTTCTTGTGGATTGATCCTTTCATCATTATGTAATGTCCCTCTTTGTGTCCAACAGTCTTCTTTCTTCTGAAGTCCATTTAATCTGATTTTAATATAGCCATTCTTACTTTTTTTTAATAAACATCTGCATGATATATCCCTAGCTTTATTCTCATTTAGGTGCCTTTACCCTCCTCACTTTTCAAATATACTGGTGTTTCTTCTACATACATTGAATTCCACGAGATAGTGTTAAAATTTTTGCTTCAACCATCAAATATGATTTAAGAAATTAATTAGGACAACTTCTTATTATTTATCTTACTCTTTACTCATTCTGATGGTCTTCTTTCCTTTCTGAAGTCTCAAGCTTCTACTATATATATATTTTTAAAGTTTAGAGACCTTCCTATAGCCATACTTTAACGGTAAGATATATGAATTTGCTAGCAATAAATTCTTATAATTTTCCATTGTCTGAGACTGTCTTTATTTCCTTCTATTCCTACAGAATATTTTTTGCTAAATACAGGATTCATGGTTCTGCTCTTTTCTTTCGGTAATTGAATAAACTGCCACTTCATTCTGGCCTTCATGGTTTCAAACGAAAAATCTGTTGTCATTCAAATTACTGTTCTCATAAGTAATGTTTTTCTCTGCCTGTTTTCAAGCCTTTTCTTTGTCTTTTGTTTTCAGAAGTTAAGTTATGATGTGTCTTAGCATGGATTTGAGTTTTTGCTATTCGGGGTTCACTTAGTTTCTGAATTTGTAAATTTATACATTTCATCAAATTTGGGGAAATTTCAGTATTTCTTTGAATACTTTTTCAGTCTCTCTCTCATTCTGCTCTCTTTTTGAAATTCCAGTGACAAGTACTTTAGCTCTTTTGTTATTGGCTCAAAGGTCCTTTAGACTCTTTTTAATTTTTTTCTCCCAGTCTATTTTCTCTTTGTTCTTCAGATTGAGTTCATTCTATTCATCTGTCCCCAAGTTCACTGATTCAATCCTCTGTCATCTCCACTTTACTAGTGATTATATCCAGCAAGTTTTAATTTCAATCACTGTATTTTCTAGTATATAATTTTCATTCTTTATTATAACTTATTTCCTTACTGAGATATTCTAGGTTTTCATTTGTCTCAAGATTATTCAATTTTGTTGAAGCATTTTTATGATGGTTGCTTTAAAATCTTTGTCAGATAATTCCAATATCTGAATAATATTAATATTGTCATTTGTTGGTCTTTTGCCTTTCTTGTCTGAATTTCCTGGTTCTTGGTATGATCTGTGTTTTCTAATGTAGCCTAGATATTTTGAATATTATGAGACTCTGGGTTCTATTTAATCTTCCTATTTTTAGCAGGCAGTCTCCTGTTGAGGCATAATGTAAAAGCCAAGGAGGTGTGTATGCATGGCTTTGCACTGAGCTCTACCAAAAGCACCCCAGGAAAAGTGGGCACTGACTCACACTGCCTCAGTGCAGACGAGAGATGTACAAGTTCAGCTCCCCTCCCAGTCCAACTGACACCTTCCCATGAAAGTGGAGCACCAGCTCACACTGCCTTTTTGCCTCCAAGTGGAATATAAGATCAGCTCCTTGCTGGGCCCTGCTGACATTAGGAAAGGAGAAAGCAAAGGACTGACAATACTTTGTTGCTGCAGGGTGGAGGCAGAAGTTCAGCTCCCTGTTGTGCCCTTCTGGCACCAGCTGAGGGAAGGGGGGAAAAGGGAATACCAACTAGCCCCATGGGTGAAGACTTAATTCCTAGTGAGAGGGAGTAAGGATGAAGCCTAGTATTGACTAGTTTTGTCTCAGACTGGCTTAAGTAACATTGGTGCTGGGTAGCAGCAGAGGTTCAGCTTTCAGCTGGACCACACTGACACATCCTGGCAGAGGAATTAAAGCACTGTCTCCTTCTCCCCAGTGGAACTTGGAAGTCAGCTGCTTGCTTACTACTGCCAACACTACCCCAGCAGGAAAATAAGATTGCTGCTACTTACTTATGTTAGGTAGGAGAATCAGCATGTACTGCCTACTTCCAAGGGGTGGTGTGGGGCCACTGGTGTGTGGCTGCAGTACGGTGGGTATTGTCAAAAAGCCTTTCTATTGTTATAATTTCCTTTTACTGATCCTTTGGCTAGAAGGGACAGGCTTTTCTCCCCCTGTGCTTATTAGCAATTCCAGGTTGAAGGCTTCTGCAGTGTCCCGAGATATATGGGAGGCAAAGGAGAAAACTTACTGCCAGCTCATTCCTCAAGTCTCAATGTCTTTAGACAGCATGCTTTCTTATTCCGTCTTCTAGAGTGTTCCTATGCTTGTCTGTTGTGCTATATCCAGGGTGCTTAAGTTTCAAGAAGAAACAGCTGTGAGGAATAGGACTATACATTTTGGTGGACCTGGAAGTCTCTGTTTTATGTAATTTTATCCTTACATGTTAATCTACACTCTCCATTAGATCATAATGAATGTCTCACACATCTTGGTATCTTCTACATGTGCCTTCCATAAGTTTTCTAATATAGTAGGCCCTTGATAAATGTTTGGTGAATGCCCAACACGAAATGTTCATTTTGTGAAGACATATGCATCAGCAAAAGTGGACTGCTTATAGCCTGAAGCATGTAAGAGTGCATGGGTCAGCGGTAAAGAGTTGCGGAGGGATATCTTCAGATGGAAGAGAGGTAGCTCATCTGCATTGATGGCAATGCTTTTCTAATCTTTGATATTATATGACATATTTCTGGACTGGTCATCCCCTTTAGGCTAAAAGATGAAGTTTTGAATGCTGAAGTACAGTTTCTTTTTTTTTTTTTTTTGAGACAGACTTTTGCTCTTGTTCCCCAGACTGGAGTGCAACGGCACGATCTCGGCTCACTGCAACCTCCGCCTCCTGGGTTCAAGCGATTCTCCTGCCTCAGCCTCCCGAGTAGCTGGGACTACAGGCATGCGCCACCATGCCTGGCTAATTTTGTATTTTTAGTAGAGATGGGGTTTTTCCATGTTGGTCAGGCTGGTTTCGAACTCCCAACCTCAAGTGATCCACCCGCCTCAGCCTCCCAAAGTGCTGGGATTACAGGCATGAGCCACCGCATCCGGCCTAAAGTAAAGTTTCTTAAGTGATTGCAGCCAGCTTCGTTTGTCTAAGTTTTCTTAAGTCCTCACAGCCTTCTGAACTTGAAGGATCTCTCTAACTCTAGTCAGGGTAAGTCTGACAATGTTTGTAAGTGAAATTATGTTGTCAGAACTATGGCACCTAGTTCTTCCTGATAACCCCTTCATGTAGTAGATACAATATATGAGAGAAAAATTAAGACCTAAATCTCTGGCAAATATTTCCCCAATTTATAAGAAATATCTTGGACTCCCCATTCAAAGACATTCGAAGCACTTTTCTATTCTCCCTATCAGCATTCTAGAAACTGCAATGGATTTTAAACTAGACTTCTTGGATGGCTGGTGTCTTATGGTATTACTGTTTATTAAAATAATGTGCTACAAACTATGCTACTATTTAAACAAATACAGGTTGGAAGCAGTGATTAGTACAAAAAGAACAAAGCAGGTTACTAATTTTTCCCTAAGTCAGTCAGAATTTTTGGTCTGAAGGCATTTAATACTTCAGGTTTAGGAGAAAAGAGATTGGGGTAAGGGGGGAAAGAGTCTCTCCCAGTCAAACAAACAAACAAAAAGATTTGTTTTCAATCTCGCAGGCTTAGAACACAAATGAAAGACCAACATAAAAATACACTCAACTGATTCCTTGGTGTCTTTAAGGAATGTACTCATATACTATATAGAAACAGCCAATCATTGGTCACATTTTTACAAATTAGAGTCATGACCTGAAAGTTAATTATCTTTCTCATGTAATTCTATTCTTTTCACACTTGTTCAGCCAATACATGAAAAGCTTGATATATAGTGTGAGCAGCTGCTTATTTCTCAATCCAGTTGGCAAGACAAAAATATGGTTGGTTTTTAAACAAGTGCAGTCGTGTGGTTGAGGTTCCTAATGTGTAGTCACAGTGCCACCTAGTGGTTATGCAGAGATTAACTATTAAAGATACTGTTTATTACGGCGCAGAATTTCCCTTTATCAAAAGATTTACACTTACTTGGAAACCTTATTGATTCCAAAAGCAACTTGTTGATTAAGAGATGCGATAATTTTGTCTTTCTTTTTAATCTGCATTTGGTTTTCTTGCCACCGAAAAGTCACTGTTCTCAACTGTCTTTTGAAATCCTGATCAATAAAAAATATTATTTCAGATAATTATGTTCAAGTCACCAGAAATTGAAAGAAAAAAGCAAACTAAGTTCTTTTCAAACAGAAAGCACCAGTAAGTTTAATATTTGAAATACTTCTCACTTCCATCAGATCTAATGGCAAAAATACTTACTTCACACTGATAGTGCAATTTATAAAGCTGCCTTTGACGAGCAAGCCTTTCCTTTTCAGTTTCTCCATAGTCTGTAGTTACTTTGCCAGCTGAGCCCTATTGAGCACAGGAAATATGCATGTATTATTTTCCTCAAAAAAAAATTTTAGTTATTTGAAAGGGATTTAAAGTTGCCATCTAACTCCTTTCACGTTTTTTGTCTCAAGTCAAACACTCAATTTAGATAAACCCACCTCCCCTCAATTACAGCATTTAATAAACAGTACCAGTTACTTGCCTGTTGCTGCTGCTGCTGGATACCACTACCGGCATGCTTACCATTTCTTTTTTTTTAATTATTATACTTTAAGTTTTAGGGTACATGTGCACAATGTGCAGGTTTGTTACATATGTATACATGTGCCATGTTGGTGTGCTGCACCCATTAACTCGTCATTTAACATTAGGTATATCTCATAATGCTATCTCTTCCCCCTCCCTCCACCTCACAACAGGCCCCGATGTGTGATGTTCCCCTTCCTGTGTCCATGTGTTCTCATTGTTCAATTCCCACCTATGAGTGAGAACATGTGGTGTTTCGTTTTTTGTCCTTGCGATAGTTTGCTGAGAATGATGGTTTCCAGCTTCTTCCATGTCCCTAAAAAGGACATGAACTCATCATTTTTTATGGCTGCATAGTATTCCGTGGTGTATATGTGCCACATTTCCTTAATCCAGTCTATCATTGTTGGACATTTGGGTTGGTTCCAAGTCTTTGCTATTGTGAATAGTGCTGCAATAAACATACGTGTGCATGTATCTTTATAGCAGCATGATTTATAATCCTTTGGGTATATACCCAGTAATGGGATGGCTGGGTCAAATGGTATCTCTAGTTCTAGATCCCTGAGGAATCGCCACATGGACTTCCACAATGGTTGACCTAGTTTACAGTCCCACCAACAGTGTAAAAGTGTTCCTATTTCTCCATATCCTCTCCAGCACCTGTTGTTTCCTGACTTTTTAATGACTGCCATTCTAACTGGTGTGAGATGGTATCTCATTGTGGTTTTGATTTGCATTTCTCTGATGGCCAGTGATGATGAGTATTTTTTCATCTGTCTTTTGGCTGCATATATGTGTTCTTTTGAGAAGTGTCTGTTCATATCCTTTGCCCACCTGTTGATGGGGTTGTTTTTTTCTTGTAAATTTGTTTGAGTTCATTGCAGATTCTGGATATTAGCCCTTTGTCAGATGAGTAGGTTGCAAAAATTTTCTCCCATTCTGTAGGTTGCCTGTTGACTCTGATGGTAGTTTCTTTTGCTGTGCAGAAGCTCTTTAGTTTAATTAGATCCCATTTGTCAATTTTGGCTTTTGTTGCCATTGCTTTTGGTGTTTTAGACATGAAGTCCTTGCCCATGCCTATGTCCTGAATGGTATTGCCTAGGTTTTCTTCTAGGGTTTTTATGGTTTTAGGTCTAACATTTAAGTCTTTAATCCATCTTGAATTGGTTTTTGTACAAGGTGTAAGGAAGGGATCCAGTTTCAGCTTTCTACATATGGCTAGCCAGTTTTCCCAGCACCATTTATTAAATAGGGAATCCTTTCCCAATTTCTGTTTTTGTCAGGTTTTTCAAAGATCAGATAGTTGTAGATATGTGGCATTATTTCTGAGGGCTCCGTTCTGTTCCATTGGTCTATATCTCTGTTTTGGTACCAGTACCATGCTGTTTTCGTTACTGTAGCCTTGTAGTATACTTTGAAGTCAGGTAGTGTGATGCCTCCAGCTTTGTTCTTGTGCCTTAGGATTGACTTCGCAATGCAGGCTCTTTTTTGGTTCCATATGAACTTTAAAGTGGTTTTTTCCAATTCTGTGAAAAAAGTCATTGGTAGCTTGATGGGGATGGAATTGAATCTATAAATTACCTTGGGCAGTATGGCCATTTTCACAATATTGATTCTTCCTACCCATGAGCATGGAATGTTCTTCCATTTCTTTGTATCCTCTTTTATTTTGTTGAGCAGTGGTTTGTAGTTCTCCTTGAAGAGGTCCTTCACATCCCTTGTAAGTTGGATTCCTAGGTATTTTATTCTCTTTGAAGCAATTGTGAATGGGAGTTCACTCATGATTTGGCTCTCTGTTTGTCTGTTATTGGTGTATAAGAATGCTTGTGATTTTTGCACATTGATTTTATATCCTGAGACTTTGCTGAAGTTGCTTATCAGCTTAAGGAGATTTTGGGCTGAGATGATGGAGTTTTCTAGACATACAATCATGTCATCTGCAAACAGGGACAATTTGACTTCCTCTTTTCCTAATTGAATACCCTTTATTTCCTTCTCCTGCCTGATTGCCCTGGCCAGAACTTCCAACACTATGTTGAATAGGAGTGGTGAGAGAGGGCATCCCTGTCTTGTGCCAGTTTTCAAAGGGAATGCTTCCAGTTTTTGCCCATTCAGTATGATATTGGCTGTGGGTTTGTCATAGATAGCTCTTACTATTTTGAGATACATCCCATCAATACCTAATTTATTGAGAGTTTTTAGCATGAAGGCGTTGTTGAATTTTGTCAAAGGCCTTTTCTGCATCTATTGAGATATCATGTGGTTTTTGTCTTTGGTTCTGTTTATATGCTGGATTTATTGATTTGCGTATGTTGAACCAGCCTTGCATCCCAGTGATGAAGCCCACTTGATCATGGTGGATAAGCTTTTTGATGTGCTGCTGGATTCAGTTTGCCAGTATTTTATTGAGGATTTTTGCATCGATGTTCATCAGGGATATTGGTCTAAAATTCTCTTTTTTTGTTATGTCTCTGCCCGGCTTTGCTATCAGGATGATGCTGGCCTCATAAAACAAGTTAGGGAGGATTCCCTCTTTTTCTATTGATTGGAATAGTTTCGGAAGGAATGGTACCAGCTCCTCCTTGTACCTCTGGTAGAATTCGGCTGTGAATCCATCTGGTCCTGGACTTTTTTTTGGTTGGTAAGCTATTAATTATTGCCTCAATTTCAGAGCCTGTTATTGGTCTATTCAGAGATTCAACTTCTTCCTGGTTTAGTCTTGGGAGGGTGTATATGTCGAGGAATTTATCCATTTCTTCTAGATTTTCTAGTTTATTTGCGTAGAGGTGTTTATAGTATTCTCTGATGGTAGTTTGTATTTCTGTGGGATTGGTGGTGATATCCCCTTTATCATTTTTTATTGTGTCTATTTGATTCTTCTCTCTTTTCTTCTTTATTAGTCTTGCTAGCGGTCTATCAATTTTGTTGATCTTTTCAAAAAACCAGCTCCTGGATTCATTGATTTTTTGAAGGGTTTTTTGTGTCTCTATCCCCTTCAGTTCTGCTCTGATCTTAGTTATTTCTTGCCTTCTGCTAGCTTTTGAATGTGTTTGCTCTTGCTTCTCTAGTTCTTTTAATTGTGATGTTAGGGTGTCAATTTTAGATCTTTCCTGCTTTCTCTTGTGGGCATTTAGTGCTACAAATTTCCCTCTACACACTGCTTTGAATGTGTCCCAGAGATTCTGGTATGTTGTGTCTTTGTTCTCGTTGGTTTCAAAGAACATCTTTATTTCTGCCTTCATTTCGTTATGTACCCAGTAGTCATTCAGGAGCAGGTTGTTCAGTTTCCATGTAGTTGAGCGGTTTTGAGTGAGTTTCTTAATCTTGAGTTCTACTTTGATTGCACTGTGGTCTGAGAGACAGTTTGTTATAATTTCTGTTCTTTTACATTTGCTGAGGAGTGCTTTACTTCTAACTATGTGGTCAATTTTGGAATAGGTGTGGTGTGGTGCTGAGAAAAATGTATATTCTGTTGATTTGGGGTGGAGAGTTCTGTAGATGTCTATTAGGTCCGCTTGGTGCAGAGCTGAGTTCAATTCCTGGATATCCTTGTTAACTTTCTGTCTCATTGATCTGTCTAATGTTGACAGTGGGGTGTTAAAGTCTCCCATGATTATTGTGTGGGAGTCTAAGTCTCTTTGTAGGTCTTTAATGACTTGCTTTATGAATCTGAGTGCTCCTATATTGGGTGCATATATATTTAGGATAGTTAGCTCTTCTTGTTTAATTGATCCCTTTACCATTATGTAAAGACCTTCTTTGTCTCTTTTGATCTTTGTTGGTTTAAAGTCTGTTTTATCAGAGACTAGGATTGCAACCCCTGCCTTTTTTTGTTTTCCATTTGCTTGGTAGATCTTCCTCCATCTCTTTATTTTGAGCCTATGTGTGTCTCTGCACGTGAGATGGGTTTCCTGAATACAGCACACTGATGGATCTTGACTCTTTATCCAATTTGCCACTCTGTGTCTTTTAATTGGAGCATTTAACCCATTTACATTTAAGGTTAATATTGTTATGTGTGAATTTGATCCTGTCATTATGATGTTAGCTGGTTATTTTGCTCGTTAGTTGATGCAGTTTCTTCCTAGCCTCGATGGTCTTTACAATTTGGCATGTTTTTGCAGTTGCTGGTACTGGTTGTTCCTTTCCATGTTTAGTGCTTCCTTCAGGAGCTCTTTTAGGGCAGGCCTGGTGGTGACAAAAATCTCTCAGCATTTGCTTGTCTGTAAAGGATTTTATTTCTCCTTTACTTATGAAGCTTAGTTTGGCTGGATATGAAATTCTGGGTTGAAAATTCTTTTCTTTAAGAATGTTGAATATTGGCCCCCACTCTCTTCTGGCTTGTAGAGTTTCTGCCAAGAGATCAGCTGTTAGTCTGATGGGCTTCCCTTTGTGGGTAACCCGACCTTTCTCTCTGGCTGCCCTTAACATTTTTTCCTTCATTTCAACTTTGGTGAATCTGCCAATTATGTGTCTTGGAGTTGCTCTTCTCGAGTAGTATCTTTGTGGCGTTCTCTGTATTTCCTAAGTTTGAATACAATCTAGCCTGCCTTGCTAGATTGGGGAAGTTCTCCTGGATAATATCCTGCAGAGTGTTTTCCAACTTGGTTGCATTCTCCCCATCACTTTCAGGTACACCAATCAGACGTAGATTTGGTCTTTTCACATAGTCCCATATTTCTTGGAGGTTTGTTCATTTCTTTTTATTCTTTTTTCTCTAAACTTCTCACTTCATTTCATTCATTTGATCTTCCGTCACTGATACCCTTTCTTCCAGTTGAGTGAATCGGCTACTGAGGCTTGTGCATTCGTCACATAGTTCTTGTGCTGTGGTTTTCAGCTCCATCAGGTCCTTTAAGGACTTCTCTGTATTGGTTATTCTAGTTAGCCATTCGTCTAATTTTTTTCAAGGTTTTTAATTTCTTTGCCATGGGTTCGAACTTCCTCCTTTAGCTCGGAGTAGTTTGATCGTCTGAAGCCTTCTCTCAACTCGTCAAAGTCATTCTCCGTCCAGGTTTGTTCTGTTGCTGGTGAGGAGCTGTGTTCCTTTGGAGGAGGAGAAGCACTCTGATTTTTAGAATTTTCAGTTTTTCTGCTCTGTTTTTTCCCCATCTTTGTGGTTTTATCTGCCTTTGGTCTTTGATGATGATGACGTACAGATGGGGTTTTGGTGTGGATGCCCTTTCTGTTTGTTAGCTTTCCTTCTAACAGTCAGGACCCTCAGCTGCAGGTCTGTTGGAGTTTGCTGGAGGTCCACTCCAGACCCTGTTTGCCTGGGTATCAGCAGTGGAGGCTGCAGAACAGTGGATATTGGTAAACAGCAAATGTTGCTGCCTGATCGTTCCTCTGGAAGTTTTGCCTCAGAGGGGTACCCAGCCGTGTGAGGTGTCAGTCTGCCCCTACTGGGGGATGCCACCCAGTTAGGCTACTCAGGGTTCAGGGATCCACTTGAGGAGGCAGGCTGTCCGTTCTCAGATCTCAAGCTACGTGCTGGGAGAACCACTACTCTCTTCAAAGCTGTCAGACAGGGACATTTAAGTCTGCAGAGGTTTCTGCTGCCTTTTGTTTGCCTATGCCCTGCCCCCAGAGGTGGAGTCTACAGAGGCAGAGAGGCCTCCTTGAGCTGTGGTGGGTTCCACCCAGTTTGAGCTTCCCGGCCGCTTTGTTTACCTACTCAAGCCTTGGCAATGGCAGACGCCCCTCCCCTAGCCTCGCTGCCACCATGCAGTTTGCTCAGACTGCTGTGCTAGCAATGAGTGAGGCTCCATGGGCGTGGGACCCTCCAAGCCAGGCATGGGATATAATATCCTGGTGTGCCGTTTGCTGAGACCGTCAGAAAAGCGCAGCATTAGGGTGGGAGTGACCCGATTTTCCAGGTGCCATCTGTCACCCTTTCCTTGGCTAGGAAAGGGAATTCCCTGACCCCGTGCGCTTCCCAGGTGAGGTGATGCCTCGCCCTGCTTTGGCTCACACTCGGTGCGCCGCACCCACTGTCCTGAACCCACTGTCCAACAATCCCCAGTGAGATGAACCCAGTACCTTAGTTGGAAATGCAGGAATCATTCATCTTCTGCATCGCTCACGGTGGGAGCTGTAGACTGGAGCTGTTCCTATTCAGCCATCTTGGCTCCACCCCCCACTTACCATTTCTTTAGCATTTTCTTTGTAAGGGTAACGCTTTTATTGTTGTAAGAACCAAATGACATAGGCAGTCATTATTTCCATTTTAGAGATGATAAAATATTGAGTAACTTGCCCCAAATCACATAGACAGTAAGTGGAGGAGCCTGCATTCTAAGGCAGTCTTAATTGCCCAAACACTTAATTACACTGTATCATCTGAGTTTAATGTTCAACTTATCCACTAGATTGTAAACATTATCCATAGATTGTAGAAACTTTGTCTTAGCATAGCTCTTGACACAATATGCAGGTGATAAATGGGTTTTGAATAAATGAATAAACTTTTTTTAAAGGTATGTGTCATTTTAATTCTATCTTTGAGTTCCCATAGTCTCATGGCTATAGAATGAAAACCAGAGATCCCATATTTAAACTGTAGTGTGACATCCAAAGCTAAGAATATGTCATTTCAGTTAAAATGTACATATTCTAATTAGGAGAAAAAAGGTATGACAATTATATGAATGTTGTACTATCAGCCAGGGAATCATTTGCACTAACTGTACCCTTAGACAATGAGTATTCCTACATATTACATACCACTATATTTAAACAGCAGAGCAGGTTATCACTGAATTCTCATTAGTAGGTAAAAAAATAGTTTTTTAAAAAATTATTTCATTTGCTGTTGAGCACTTAAATCATGTTCACATGCCTCTTCACATATAGGTACATCATTCCAAGCAGTGACAACTACCAGGAATGGAGCCAGAAAAAAAAATGATTATACATCAATATTTTCTGTAGACATTTTATGGTAACAATCATATTTAATTTTTAAAAATGAAAGCAGCTTTATATTACAAAACTATTTTTCTCATGACATGTAATCTAGTAGGATTATGCTAGTCTTTTTTTTTCCTTTGTGGTATTCGAAAAACGTTTGCAAGAAATGCATTTGTAATCAACTTTGCCCTATAATTAAAGCCAGGAAATGGTTTGAGGGCTAAAGTGAAGTTTCCAGCTCCTAGGCGTTCTTTTTTTTCCTTATTCTATTTTCCTTCATATATCCCTCCTTACCTTTTATGCTTTTCTCTTTCTCCTCACAAACAGTATAAACCACTGGGCTTTTCAAAGGGTGATGCTGTTTAAAGAGTCACAGGAAAAACCAGATAACAATAAGAGAAGGCAGGCACCCTCTCTAATCATGCTTACCTGCTCTATCATGTCCAGAATATGCAATTCATCCAGGCTATAGAACTTGTCTTCCATTGCAGAATCCTCTTGAACATCACTTGCATCATCTTTTATAAGTCTACTGACTGAGTGTGGATTTGCTTGTTCTTTCCTCAACTGCTCTTCCTTTTCTACCACATATGGGCTGTAGTCGTGACATAATCAATGTGAGCTTTTACAATTGTATAGTAATTTTCATCTAAGCTATTGCTTCCAAAGTTAGTATTGTACTGGTTTCATAAGATGCTCAGCATTAGAAGGGTTCATGATCAAAGGAAGTTTGGATAGTGCTCATACTGAGTCTTTCTTTTGAAGATTCATAATGAATATTAGCATATTTAAAGTAGCACTCAATCAAGGTACCTGTTTAATTCTGTTCATGCCACTGTTTTCAAGAATTATGACACTACAGAGTTCACTTTACAAATTATAACTAGTTACATCAGTTGCTTTGGAAAACAGTACTTTCAGAAATATTGGCAAGCATTTCCACATCTGCTACATTATTTTACCATCATAACATTCTTTGTTCCCCCTTAATTTTCTTGACAAGTAGGTTGGTTTAAGCAACTTCAGTGATTAGGTCCAATGTATGTTTAAATAGAGAGTTGAAAACAGCATCATAAAATAGACTGTAAAATGGAGGTTTCTTTTGTAACAGAACTTTTAAAAAGAACTACAGTAACAACATGGATTTCAGTAACTACACTACTAACAGAGACCACTTTTAAAAAATGAAAATACTACATATATATATATATATATATATATATATATATATACACACACACACAATGGCAATTAACCAATTTCTACACTTTTTTCTAAAATTTAATTGCATGCTACTGTCCTTTCACTTGGCCTACTACTTAGTAGCTCTAAATTTCCTTCCTAATCTCCTTGAATGGCAACAAGAATAGGAGTATTTTTACTTAGAGTGTGATATGACTCTATTTAACTAGTGAATAGAAACTCTAAGATACATTATTACTTTTTTAGAACACTTTGAGATCTAGAAAAAAATGAAATTAATGCTTGTGGAATAATTCATAAAACACGATATAAGCAGTAATTAGGTATTACTGAGGTATTCTAGAGTGACCCAAACATTCTGAAAAGTTCGATGAAATCAATTGCTTGTGTAGACCATTGATTCTCAAACTCAATTACTTTTCTACACTACCTGAAGAGCTTTTAAAAATTAAATGTTTCTAGGCACCCCTACAACTGTAAAAATATAGATGAATTTGTATTTTTGAAAAGTTCACCAAGATTATTCCTAAATTTTTTAAAGTACACTCAGGCATTGCTTAACAACAAGGATACTTTCTGAGAAATGTGTCATTAAGCGCTTTTGTCATAACATATCATAGAGTGTTACTACACAAAACTAGATGGTATAGCCTACTACACATATTGCTCCTAGGCTACAAACCTGTTACAGCATATTACTGTACTGAATACGATAGGCAGTTGTAACACGTAAGTATGTCTGTATTTAAACGTACCTAAACATAGAAAAATTACAGTAAAAATACAATATAAAACATAACATATTGTACACCTGTATAGGGCATTTACCATGAATGCAGCTTGTAGGACTGGACAGTGCTCTGGGTGAGTCAGTGAATGAGAGGTGAGTATTGTATACTACTGTAGACTTTATAATAAACACCACAAACTCAGGCTACACTAAATTTATAAAAAGTAAAGTAATAGCACTACAATGTTATGACAGCTACACCACTACTAGGCAATAGGAATTTTTTAGCTTCATTGTAATTTTATGGGACCACCATCATATCTGAGGTCTGTCCTTGATCAAAATGTTGTTAGGCAGTACAAGACTATACAGTAACAGCATTGAGATAATATAGGAAGATGTTCATATTTCTAAGATGTAAACTGAAGAATGAAGGGATGAAATTACAAGGATGTTTGGGATTGAAAACACTTCAATAAAGAACAAAATGTCAAAGGAAGTATGGAACAAATGTGAAAAACATAAATAATTGTTGAATCAGAGTTATAGGTATATATGTTATTGTATATATACTATTCTCTTTACTTCTGTGTATATTTGAAAATTCTCATTTAAAGACAAAGCTTCCTGGATGATCTGATCATCATCCAGATTTGGATCCACTGTGTAAGCAAAATGGCAAAGTGATTGATGACATTGTTTCATTTTTATTACGCTATATTTATGGCATTTAGACACAGCCTAAAAACAAAACAAAACAAAACTATTGCTCCAGTGGCTCAACTTGTTGCCAAAGAAAGTGAAAACACAACTTAAATGATGAACTATTTTATATACCAAGTGGATCACATCAATTGAAAATATCAACTACAAGTGATAGCTTTAAAGTTAACAAAATATGATCTTACTGCTGTTTTAAAGATATCTTACTTTATATCCTCAGAATTCTCCAAAGTTACTACTATTCAATTAACAAACTTTTTGGTAAGAATAATGATCTCTTCATTAGACTGTCTCCACCCCTTCCTTCATCTACTACACTGTTATTAATCATGCACAATGCATGCAAAATACAGTGATTATTTTGCCATTAAAATGTTTCCATTAAAGGTTCAAAATTCACTGTGAATAACTGGATTAAAAAAATGCAGGTTAAGTCTTAAAAACAACAAAGCCAAACTTTTTGGTAAAAGGGGTCACTGGGACATAACAAAACTAGACGGTATAGCCTACTACACACCTAGGCTATATGGCATAACCTACTGCTCCTAGGCTACAAACCTAGGAGTGATGCATCCTTTAAAATTAGGTCTTAGTTGAGGTTTGGTCTAGACTACAATGTCTAGACTAAAATACAGTGTAACTACAATGTAGACTATATTTTAAAATGACTCAAGTAGCCTTACAGAAAAATGGTAAGGGGTTCTATTCTTCCAAAGCAAATGATAATTAAATGTTAAATGATCATTTAACTTTTTGTTACTTTCTATAAAAAAGCAGCAACTTGTTAATTATTAAGACAAGGAACTATCCTTCTTCTCTTAGTGAGAAAACTTCCCAAAGGAAGGAAGCCTGTGTCATATTAGGAAAGTATGCCTTAAAAATACTAAGAAAAATTTAAAAATTAAATAAACTAATACTTACACTTGGTCTTCTTTTGAGTCTTTATTCTGAAAAATAACATAAGAATTAGTAATCTATATCAACTATATCAAAACAACATACTAGTAATATAATTACATTTAGGTCAGTGTTTCTCAAAAAATTTTTGATCATAACTAAAGAAATATATATCATGATGTCATATGCACTTATGCATATACTTTTATACCTAAGTATAAAACTGAAATATAAGTTCCATGAAATAAAACTTACTCATATTGTATGTGATGAACTCTAGTATTTTTTTAATTCCTATTTCCTTTTTTTAAAACGGCAGTTGTGATCTACTAAATTGGTCTTATTATCTACTACTGAGTCTTGAAACATGACTTGAAAATCACTGATTCAGATGATAGAGGTGAGTATTGGGGCTGTGTCTGTACGTATTCATATACCTTTAGACACAATGTATATAATTCCAATTTATTTCTACACTACAAGCGTTCTTGAAAACCTATATATAAGGAGAAGTCAGACTGATACGTTAAGAATCTCACAGAAAAAGAAGTGTTAAGAAGATCACAATTTGAAAAAAATCTTAAAAGCCCTAAATTTTATGTTCATTAAAATAAAACTATAAAGGCAACATACCAAATAAAGGTAGTATCAATGGCATTTAACATATTAAACTAAGAGTATTACAGTATTACTTTCTACCATCTCTTGCATACAAGAAACTTCAGGGTCTCCTTCTCTACAGATACAATGCTGTATATACAAATTCATTTAGCTTTCTTGTCTGTATACTAAGATTTTTGTGTTTCAGTGTCTGTCCTTATGCTTAATATCCAGTACCAATTTGATTCTATGATTTAGAATTCTTGACTCCTGCCTTTGCTCTAGTGTACTTGAATACCTGAGTTGAAAAGACTTTTGGTTGTTCACAATAAACACATCTAGCATAATGGATTATTTCTCAAATTCCCTTTTGGCTCCTCCCATGACAACTTTATGCCAATGAATATATCAGCCATACGAGGCTTTTTTATATCCAAAAATTTGAGAGCTTGAGCATTACCATATTTTAATTTTATGGCAGTAAAGGCAAGACACACTATATGCCTTTGCAACTTAGTTTGGTGGTTTGACAGCTGTGAATTTACTTGGCCAGTTTTATGTAGTATTAGACCCATGACTTACCAATACTTTGGCAAAAATTAAAAATATCATCAAAATAACAAATTAGTTTGTTTTATCAGATAAGAACTGTCTAAAAGTCAGGAAAAATCTCCATACTCATGTCTTTAAAAAATAAAATTTAACTTTCATAACTTTTAAGTAAAATGTTATAACAAATGATTGTTAAATATAACAATGATAGTGATATTTTACTTATCAGATTCGATATGAATTCTTTTTTAAATCTTGACTTCGTGTTTTACAAATTTATCTTCATTGTCTTAAGTTTCATTAATGATTACAATTTGTTTACACTTTCAAATGACTAACAACATGGGCTCACCAGATTGTGGTTGGGCAAATATTCTCACTCAATTTATAATATACAGAATATATCAAGATTTTAAATATATTTTTCAGGCTAGAAAACAATTTTTTTCACCACAAAGTTGCATAACATGGTGGTTAGCTATATGCTTGATTAAAAAAAGACATGTGGCTTTCCCTTATAGTTTTCCTAGCAATTAAGAGACTCACTGGTAAAACTGTGCTAGATACTGACTTGTTCATTTTGCAACTGACAAAATCAAAGAAGCAGCAACGCAAGAAGTTTGTATTTGTACCTTTTTGTGCACATTATTGCATCTTTGGCATAGTCTCAGACATAAAGAAAAAAATCAAGATTTCTTAAAGTTTTGAAAGCTGCTTCTAAACATATCAATAAAGACATGACAAAAAGCTGTTCTTAAAACAATGAGTACGCATTTTAAAAATAAGTGGTATGTAGAAATTAATGAAATTTCCATGTGACTAATTCAGTCTATATTTATATATGCAAATATATAAATTACAATTTAAGGACGTGAAGTATGAAATTGTATTTCGTACTTCAAAATCATTCAGGATATAACATATGTAGACTTCTCTATAATCATATACTCAGTAAGCTATTGAATCATTTGTGCTATATGTCTACTTGAACTAATTTAAGTTCTAACAATGAATTCATGTATTTAACTCAAGTGTTCATAATCAGTATTATAATGCTATTATAGTCTCTTACCTTTTTATTCTTAGTCTTCTTCTTTTTCCTTTGTTTACTCTTAACCTAGTAGGTAAAAAATTATTTATTAAATATGTAATTCAAATTGCCCAATGGGTTATTTTGCAAAATATATTTCCTCTCACCACTGAGATCTTTTGTTTTCTAATATTATAGGTATTTCTTTCTAGATTCTATGGAAACAATTATTTTTGTTTTTATCATTTTTATTTTAATCCTAGTCTTCTGTCCTTAAATAATCACTGATGAATAAAGGAACAACACATAATGTCAATAAGTAGGTTACTGATAAAAGTTCACAGATGCTCACTTACACACATGGATGTAACAAAGGAGGAAGACACTTTTTAAAAAGCAACATATTCATGCCTATAAGATGAAAGATCTAAGGATAATTTAGTGACTATATAATAACTGTTACCACTTATTTGTAAAGAAATACGGAGATTCCATTCTGGACGAATTTCATTCTACCTCTGCGCAAATGGTTTTGAAATATCCCACTTTTCTCTTCCTTTCTTTCCTCTCTATTTTAGACTATACTTTCTTCTACTTTCTAATACCTTCCCACATCCACTTCAACTGGGATTAAAAAAACATATTACAGTCTAGCATAATGCCTGCCACATAAGTGTTTAAGAAATGGTGGCAAAATAAATGGTTATGGCAGGAAAGATTATGGAAGGAAGTACTGAGGCAAGGAAGGAAAGGACCATTCCAATTCAAGCTCTGTATAAACACTATGAAAATATAAGCTAAAATTATCTGGGATGCTTTAAGTACAGCACATGCAACAAATTAAAGGCCCAGAATAAGTTCTTCTAACTCAAATATTAATGAGAGCTTATACTTCCTGGAGATCTTTAAGAGATTCTGTTGAAGATTCACTGGGTATTGAGGTCCCATCTTTATTAATTTCTGCAAACTGTATCTCAGGGTGTGATTTCACATTTATATTGTACTCCATGAGAGGTGGACTTAGTTCTTCTTCCTCATTCTGTAACTCTTCTATTTCAATACCTAAACATAAAAGACAAAATTCTCAAAATCTAGATGAAAGCAATTTCAGCTTCTTATCAATGTTATAATGTTTGCCCAAAAAAGCAACATTCACAAAACAGAAATAAAATATATCTTACTCTTTTCAATTACTCGATGAAAATGTGATGTTCATTTATCAGTTACCAAATAATATGTACAAACACCAGCCTGGAACTAATCAGTGTGAACCTGAGTGCTATGTTACCTACTGGAATCTTAGGTAGACTCTAGATATTAGATACTCTAGAACATAAGTAGACTCTAAATACTAACTTTTTGCATGTCCTGACCTTGATCCTATTAATAATGCAACTAGTATTATTTTAGCACATATATCTGAAATATAAAGAAAAAGAAGACAAAAGATCTATTTTTTCTGTTTTCTTTTTCATAAGAGGGGTGTGAGCCCCCTATTATGTGACCTTTTCTTTGAGACTTTGCTCCTTGATATTGCCCCAGAGACTCAGTCTCAAAACTTGTGGACTTTGTCTGACTGGTCTCCAGAGAGTCCAGCATTTTATCCCAAACAAATCTGTGGTGGTGTTTTTTTTAAGTATAATTTTAATTGAATAATATTAATTACACTTAAAAAAAATAGCACAAAAATGGAAATTAAACAATTACAACTTATCACCTGGCAAAAAAAGTATATAGCTATAAACAATAGACAGACTAAATAAAGTTATACACGCTAAACACCAAACAGAGAAAGCAGGAAGGTATTTTTGCCTGCTGAAGTTTTTGTGAGTAAAACGTTAGAACATCATCCTTGGGAAAACCCTGAAGCACATGCACTAAGCCAAAGGCAGAATAAAGCTCATTCTCGATTCAGCCAGACCAGTGGTGATTTGATCACATCATTTTCCAAGTTCTTTTTTTTTGAGACTGAATCTCGCTCTGTCGCCCAGGCTGGAATGCAGTGGCGTGATCTTGGCTCACTGCAACCTCTGCCTTCCATGTTCAAGCAATTTTCCTGCCTCAGCCTCTTGAGTAGCTGGGACTACAGGCACCCGCCACCACACCTGGCTAATTTTTGTATTTTTAGTAGAGACGGGGTTTCACCATGTTGGCCAAGATGGTCTCGATCTCCTGACCTTGTGATCCACCTGCCTCAGCCTCCCAAAGTACAGGGATTATAGGCGTGAGCCACTGCGCCTGGCCCAAGTTCTTCACAATTATAGTTTATCATTTAGTTTATCTGAACAAATAAAAATTTCATAGGTATCCCTTGTTAAAAAGTCATTTACACATTTTATTTCTAAATATACTTACGCTGACTGCCTGTTATTGACTGTAGAGCAATTCCTATAATACATAAAGAAAAATTTTAGATGTACAATTGCAAACGCAACAAATGAATGTCTGGCTAGGATTAAGGCAGAATATTTTTATATTGCACCAATTTATTCTGTAAGTAACTGGAAAAATAACCAGCTTTGCTCATCAATCCAGTTTAGACAAGGCACAATCTTTAGATTATCACATAAAGGTTATAAACCCATGATTAGAGAAAAAAAAGTAAACAAAAATGTGGTATCACAGATAAAGCCTAGAACACAAGCACTTTAAACCAAGCAACGAATATTTATGTTTACCATCTAAGGCCATGAAATAATAGTTAATTACACAGCAAACCTCCACTGAAAGTTGGGACCTATTTTTAGCAATCTGATTTATCTGATCATCACTTGCTCTCCTTGCCCATTAATATTTATTGAGCACCTACAATGTACATCAGGCTGTGTTAAGCTCTAGAGATTGAATGGTGAAGAAAAAAAAAGACAATCTTCATGGAGATTTAGTGGGATGATGGATGTTAATCAAATTATCAGATATCCAAATAAAAAGCAACTAGAATAGCTGAGGAAAGAAATATAAGATGGTAAGAAAGCCTCTAGTAAAGGGACTTGACCAATAAGCTCTTCAGTGTACTTGAGTAAGAACTGCTTAAAATGCTTTGAATTGAATGGGTGCTCAAAACTCTTTCTCAAATACTCTATTCTCATGAATTATTTAAAATCCTAATAGAGTAAATGTATTTTTTAAAACCCTAATTTATAAGTCAAAAATTCTTGCCTGACTTTCTTATATATCAAACTCAGTGTCCTCCTCTTTCATTCTTAGATTATGCAAGAAAACAAAGGTATTCCAGAGCCTTAGTAAATACCAGGACTGAAATTGGGCACATCAATTATCTCTGAAGAAAATCTGGACCAGTTCACTAGAAACTTTTACAGTTGTATGTTTATATAGCATCAGTGTGGTTATCAGTTGTTCATTAGGCTGTAAATAACTTGAGACCAGGAAGTCATCCTGAATAGCACAGCAGGGTTTCAGAGATGTTGTCATGCCTTGAACTCTGCTTTCCAAAAGAATAGCTGAGAAGGTATCCTGAGATGTGGGAAAGGAGGTCTGAAGTCTTTTCCGTATCAATAGACAAGTTTGGGAGTGGCCAATACAAACACTTGCATGAATGTTACCTGATTTTTAAAATTATCTACAGCCAATGAATAGCTGCTAAAATTGTAAACTAAACAAGATTCTGCTAGAAAGTAGAAGAAACATACATCCACACTGTGTCTAAACGAACATCTTTGAAACCACACAGTACTTACATGTCATGGTTTTAAACTTTATTAATTTTGGAGAATAAAACTCCACTTAAAGTGATAAAACTGTACTCAAAAGTCTTCAACAATTTCTTTCTGAAAAATGCAGACTCCTTAATGTGACAAAAAAATCCTCTTGAATGTACTCTATGAACTCTCCCCTACTTTAATCTCAATGAAGCCAACATTTTTTAGTTGCCTGCAGTATATTTTTATGTTTCTATACCTTTATTTTTGTTTCCCTCTGAAACATTCTTCTCAGTCTGCTTCACCTGGCTAACTTCTGCACACCATTAATAGTTCTTTAACTATGATACTCTCCAGAAAGCTTTTTTGGACTTCTTTAGCCTAGGATTTCCCATGGTATTCTGGAAACATCTCTAGCACTATAATTTCTATTACCTTCCTGATGAGTCCATTTTCCCAAAACCATGAGCTCACTGAATCTCTTGCCCTTTGCACTGTGCCTGGCACAGAGCAGACATTCAATCAATGGAAGTTTATTGGCTGAAGTAAATAATCATTTAGTACCTTGTTGATAGCAGGATAACATCCTCTGTATGATTTCTGGTACTGGTATGCCTAGGTAGACAGATAGCTGATGGTAATCAAGGGAGATATTCTCAATGGGATTCTCCTTCACTTTGTCAATATCCTCTTGCATCATCCCAAGGCGCAGAAGAATATCTGAAACTTTTTTCCAAATTGAATTGAACTGTGACTCAGTGAGACCATTCATCAAAATCTCACTAAGGAGGATATCCCTGTATTTGCACAGTCTCAGGATGTCTGCAGATTTAGAGATGTCAGAAGATGGCGGTTCCATATTCCATCCTTTTTTGGGTGCAGGGAACACATTTAAATGTTTTATAAGAGCTAACAGGAGGCATAAGTCAAACTGTTTGGATTGCGGTAACTCCTTGTTAGGAGGATAAAGCAGATGCCATGATCCACCCAAAGGATGATTGGTCCAAAGATGGTTGTAGTAGGATTCCAGCACATTCTTGTGTATAAGAAGCTCTTTTTTCAAAAGAGGAGGTGGCATAGCCTCATCAAATATTTGTCGAACAATGTCAGTACCAGAAATAATAATTATATGAAGCAGATGATAGAAATAATTATAATCAAGCTTGAAGATAGGCATTTCATCTGAAAATAAATTTTGAGAAGTCAAGACATTCCACATTAATGCTCATTTTCTATTTGGTCTCTCACATTGTATCCTAAGCTCCTGTAGGATAAAAACTATTCCAAAAGAATGAAGGATAGTACAGTGCTTTGCCACAGCCAGTGCTCAATTAGCATGCTGCTTTCTGCCTGTCAAAAAACCTAAACAAAAACAACATGTTCCCAAGCAAAAGTAATAACAAAGACTAATCACCACAGAAGTCTTTCAGTCATCCAAGGTTTTGTTCAAGTAAATGACCTTTAGCAACAACATGGCATCACAGTATTAGGTCTTTAAAAATTCTGAAATTTGCCAAGAATGCTAATTGTCAATGTCTAACTATACTTTACTTAAACAATTATACTTTATCCTAATCAGCACTGCCCAATGGAACGTCATGTGATAAAATGTTTTATATTTGCACTAATACTCACTGAGCATTGGAAATGCGGTTTGGGTGACTAAGGAACTGAATTTTAAATTTAATTTTAATTAATTTAAATTTAAGTAGCCACATACAGCTAGGGACTGCTATACTAGATAGCTCAGATCTATATCAAGAAATGCCAAAAGATCTAGCTCCTTGCTACTCAAAGGGTAGCCCAGAGACCAGCAGCATCAAGCATCCACCTGAAAGCCTGTTAGGAAAGCACAGTCTCAGGCCCCACTCTAGACCTACTGAAATCTGCCTTTTAACAAAATTGCCGGATATTTCAAATATATGTATAATGCTTGAGAAACTGTGATCTAATAAACCTCATCTTCTCACCCCCTCAAAAAAAGATAAGTAGGTATTTCATCAATAACATGGAATAAGGCATGAAACTGAACTATTTGGTATTTTCCTGTTTTAACAGTGCTTTCAAAGGAGAAAAGTCGGCTGAAGTGAATTAGAAAGTACTAATAATTTAGTATATAATGGCATTTGGTGTTATATGGATATCAAAATATGTGTTTGTCACAAAATGCAGCCTTATTATTTTATCCTTCAAGATTCTATGTTTCAAGAGATTTATTAAATTAACGTTTTTGCTTGAAATACTTGATATACATTGTGGAGGCAAGTTAAAAAGCTAATGACACAGGGAGCTTTCTTTGGGTTACCAAATAAAAAGTTGGCTGGACTGCCACCAAACTATTCTTCTATGGGCCCAGGGTCCCTTAATTAAGGCCTCCAGGTTCTGGGCAGGACATTTCCTAGCACACTCCTAAGAAGCTGGCAGCTTAGTTTAGATTACTTAGCCTCAAAACTTGGCCTCAAACTCAAAATGTTCATTCCTTTCATGTAAGGGTACTCTAATGCTTGCTCTATTAAGAAGGAATGCAGCAAGGGAAGGAACAGTTGGTAGAAAACCTCTGCTGGAACACAATCCCACGGTATAGTCACAGCTATGCACCAGACCTAGCATGCCTCTCTATAGGATGTCAAGGTAATGTGAGATCCATAGATGTGCTGATCTTCCTGTCTGTGATTTCCAGCCTACACCAAGCGCTGCTTGCTGGTATAAACCCAAGCTCAGTGAATGACAAACACAGTAAAGACGTGGTTGTTAATGGCATGAAAGTTGACAGAGAAGTCAAAAATTTTAACATACTTTTCAACAGAAGGCATATAAAAATAAAATAATACCTTTTGTATTAAATTTTAAACTGATCTTCGGTCTTATATCAGTATCAGTTATTTTCAGAGATATCAACTTTCTATAACTGCAAAAGGAAAAAAATTAAGTTATAGTGGAAATAAAATAATACCAAAGTCAGTCAAGATTTCTAGTATGAGCATGGCTAAGTGAGTATTTTCATCTTCTCCTAGAAATAATTCAAGAAGGAGAAAAAATAATGAACAAATAGAGCTCACCAACAATGAAAACCCTACACTGTCACTTTCATTGGAATTATCAAGTAAGCAGTATTGCCAGATTTCATACTAAAACTATCACATTACAAACTTCCTTGCAAAAAGGCTGTGTGGTAGCAGAAAAAAAAGGAAAGAAAGCTTTGCATTGTAAGACAAAAAAAGCAAGCAAGCAAACAAAAAAATAGCAAATCTGGAAGTCCTCCCTGGCCCTCTCTTCACCATATAATATTTTTGGCAATAACTATTCCAAGAAACCCCAACTCATTTAACACCTACTGATTAAAAACAATAAAGATGCTAGTAGAACATCAATACAAATAATTAGAAAAATAAAAAATAAAGTAGCAAAATGTATTAACTAGACTAAGCACTAGGTAAATGCTGCCGTTAAACAGATGGCTTGGCTTTGAAATGAACCACGGAAAACAAAACAAAAAAATATTGGACAACAACGCTACAATGTAAGCTTAATGAGGAAAGGGATTTTGGTGGTGGTTGTTATTGTTAACTGATTCTATCTCCAGTACCACTATAACACTGTTAGTTGCACATTACATTGAAAAAATGTAAAACTCTGACAATATGAAGTTATTGGGGAAGATACTGAGTAAAAGGTATCTCCCATACTGTTGGTGGGGAGTGTACATTTGTAAAACCACTCTGGAAAACAATTTGGCAAAAGCTAGTAAAGTTATAGATATACACAGGTGGCCTAGCAATTCTACTTTTAGGTATATATTCTGGAAAATTTTCTGCTCATATTGACCTAGCGACATGTACAAGAGTGTTCACTGCAAAACTATTGTTATAGCCAGGACCTAGAAATAAACATCTGTTAATGGTAGAATAATTAAATTAGTGAAGCAATAATATAAAATTAGAGCAATAAAAATGAAAACACTACAACTATAATAGTAAGAATGGAATCACACTAAATATGATTTTAAAATGCATAAAACAAATGTTTCCATATATAATGTTCAAAACAGAAAAAATTAAACTACACTTATAAGTAACAATATATTATGTAATTTATAAAGTAAGTAGAAGTAAAACATATGAAAACAATAGCACAAAAGAGGGAAGAAATGGAAATCTATTATTGCAAGGTTCTTACACTATACATGCTGTGGTATAATTATTTTAAAATAAACTTTGACAAGTTAAAAATATGTATTGTAAGTCCTCAAGCAACCACTAAAAAAGGGTAAAACTAATAAACCAAACCAGAAAATAAACAATAAAGACAGATAGGGAAAACTAAAAACAACAAGGAAGACAGTAGATTTCCAACCATATAAATTAGTAAAGAAAATACAAATGGAATAAAAAAAAAACAATTTAAAAGCAGAGATTGTCATATTGTATATATAAAACAACAAAGACCTATGCCACCTACAAAGAAATACATAGGTTGAAGTAAATGGATGCAAAAGGATATACCATGCAAACACTAATCAAAAGAAAGCTGGAGTAGCTATATTAATATCAGACAAAAAACACTTAAGGCAAGAATATTATCAGGGTTAAAAAGAGATGTTAAGGCCGAGCATGGTGGCTCATGCCTGTAATCCCAGCACTTTGGGAGGCCGAAGAGGGTGGATCACGAGGTCAGAAGATGAAGACCATCCTAGCCAATGTGGTGAAACCCCGTCTCTACTAAAAATACAAAAATTAGCTGGGTGTGGTGGTGTGCACCTGTAGTCTCAGCTACTCAGGAGGCTGAGGCAGGAGAATCACTTGAACCTGGGAGGTGGAGATTGCAGTGAGCCGAGATCGTGCCACTGCACTCCAACCTGGGTGACAGGGCGAGACTCCGTCTCAAAAAAAAAAAAAAAAGGATGTTAAATAAGAATAAAGGAGTCAAATTGTCAAAAAAAAAAAAAAAAAGGTAACAATTCTAGATGTGTGTGTAGCATTTAATAAGAGTTTCTAGATATACAATTAGACAGTAGACAAAAAAAAAATGAATAGTATACTTCAACATTCCCTGAGTAACTGATAGAAAAAGTAAATAATCAAAAATGACATAGAATGCTGAAACAGAGCTGTAAACTAATTTCATCTAATGTACAGACTATTTCATTCAAGATCAGAAGACACATTATTTACAAATCCAAGTAGAACATTCACCAAGATATACAGTAGTATGATCATAAAATAAATTATTGCAAAGGAATTAAACTAAAAGTGAATATCTGGAAAGAGAGCTGAAATATTCCCAAACATTTGGCAATTAAACAAATACTCCTAAAGAGCCCATGGTTAAAACATACACACACACACAAAACTAGAAAACATTTAAAATACACTGAAAATATTAATAATAAATTTCTACACATCAAAACATATGGGGCAGCTAAAGCAATGCTTAATGTAAAATCAGTTTATAAAGAACAAAGGTCTCGAATCAATGATCAAAACTTTCACCTTAAAAAAAAATCAAAGCAAATTAAACCTAAAGCAAACAAAAGTAAGGAAATTACAAAGAACAAACATCAATGAAATTTAAAACAAAAATATTATAGAAAAATCAATAAAATTAAAAGCTGATTCTTTGAAAAGATCAACAAAATTGATAGACTTCTATCCAGAATGATCAAAAAAAAAAAGACACAAATTGCCAACATTAGGAATGAGAAAGGTGACATCGCTACAGAGAAAAGGTCTCTTTGGCTGAAGAAACCAGAAAACTGAAATGGAACCATGACTACTAAGAGAATGGGGGAATCCTATAAGTGGAAGTAATCAGAAAAGAGATCCCCAAATTCTTTCCCACAACGTCTCTGACTGAACACTGAACCACATATGTAGAACAGACTAAAAGCAGCTCAACTAAGGCCAAAAGATCTGGACTGAGACTGGATCCACCACCCAAGAAAGTGTTCAAAGTTCATATCTAGCCAAATTAGTGGCCTGTCAAAATAAAAGTAACATTGCCCATTGGGGAATAATGGAATCCAGAATCTCTACTTTGTATTTATTGTGGCCTAGCTATGTGCCAGATATTATGCTATGTGCTAGGAACATACTAGAAAACAAGATAAAGTTCTTGCCCTCATGGAGGTTACACTCAAATGGAGAAGACAGCCAAGAAAGTGTAATAAACGTTAGTAAATGTTTTGATAGAAATAGAGGAAATACATGATAGAACATCTACTGTAATCTAAGTAAGGCTTTTCGAAAGCTTTAACTAGACAAAGGAGCAGAGTATTCCAAGCAAAGCTTGAAGGTCAAATAGTAAACTAGATATACTTCAATGTGATAACTTGGGAGGTTTCTTGAGATGGCACACTGAAGAAACCAAAAGAAGCTCCGTATAGTTGGTACATATATGGTTAAGAGTACAGTGACAAGAGATGGCACGAATGAGTTCAGCTGTGTACAAGGTTAAGTGAAGAGCCAAGCTAAAGAATCTGAACTTTATTTTAAGAGCAATGAGAAGCTTCTGAAAGATCTTCATGAACAGAAGTTATATATTCCAATTTTTGTTAGAAAAGTCCTATTGATGGTTAAGAAAACAACAGACTGGATAAAGTAAAGGCTAAAGACAGTTTTAAGAAGCTGTTTGAGAATTTCAAACGAGAAATAATGATATCCTCATTTAGTTTAGTGAAGTGGTAGAGACAGGGTAGAAATAGGAAGAAATTTATATTTTAAAAACTAAATTGGCCGGGCACAGTGGCTCACGCCTGTAATCCCAGCACTTTGGGAGGCCGAGGCAGGCAGATAATGAGGTCAGGAGATCAAGACCATCCTGGCTAATATGGTGAAACCCTATCTCTACTAAAAATACAAAAAAAATTAGCCGGGCATGGTGGCAGGTACCTGTAGTCCCAGCTACTCGGGAGGTTGAGGCAGGAGAATGGTGTGAACCCGGGAGGCAGAGCTTGCAGTGAGCCGAGATTGTGCCACTGCACTCCAGCCTGGGCAACAGAGCAAGACTCCATCTCAAAACAAACAAACAAAAAAACCTAAATTGATAGGACTTTTTAAAAAGTTACAAAGCAGTGTTAGAAAGAAAGATCATGAGTCCAGTTTTGGACATGCTGGATTATAAATATTTTTGAAAAATAAAAATGGAGATACTCAGTATGCAGGTAGGTATATAAGGTCAAGCTTTTAGGAGAGAGATTTGTGCTAGATATAAAGATTTGGGCTTCATTAACTAATAAGGGAAAACTGATGCTTTAGATGTCAATGCAATGTCCCTACTAGATTGAAAAATGGCATTTACACGTTAAACAGAAGAAAAAGAGAATCAATTGACTGGGAAAACTTTTATATTGAAACTTCTAACTTCAGTAGCAACACTCTATAATACCGCTATTAATTCTAGCTTTATCAAATATATTACTCTGCAATACAGTTTTCTCATGTAAGAAACAGGAAGATTCTAATTGTAAGACAAGCTTAGTGGTTTGGATAAGTTTTGAAAGATAGAAAAGTATTTCATAACAAACTAACTTTAAGAAAAATATGTTTGTTTAAAGAAAAGGATTATTTTCATATTTAATGGGAAAGTATTCACATAATTTCTCCATCTCCGCTTTAGAATGTAAATGTCTACAATAAGTGGTGATAGAGAGGGAAAGAAATGGCAATTAAATATGATTTTTTCACATACCTTAAAATTTAATGCAGCTCTATTAGGTGACAGAAACACAGAAGAATTAAGCAACCAAAAAATATATGCATATTCCAAAAAAGGTAACAGAGTATTTTATTTTAAGCTTACCTTGCTCCTAAATTTTCAATGGTGATATATTCATCCTTTCTCACAACTTCAAACTGCAAGTAATGGGGAAAAAAAATAGCCCTAAAGTAGTTCAATTTTCAAAATGTTTAATGTTATTTCTTAGCTTAACATTTGAAACATACAATGAGAGTGAAGCCACAGTGAATATAAAACAAACAAAACATGAATAACAAGGTAAGTAATAAATAATCCTGATCAAAAAAACGAACTAGAGTTGACCTTAAAAAAGCAGTTCTACTTTATATCACTATAGGATTTAAATGCCAAATCTGAAATACAAAAATAGCACATTTTACAATAAAGAAATAAGATACATTTCTAGTCATAATTTGGTCTATTTAGTTATGAACCAAAAATTCAACAAGATATTTCATTAATTAAAACATAAAATGGATATCATCTGAGTGCATTTTATGTAACAGGTACTATATGTGATGTTCTGTAGATACCTTCATAGGAGGATATTTACAGACTAAAAGAGGTTCAGAAAGTCTAAAATTATTTTTAACCTTAGGTGTCAAAGGATTAATTATCCTTAGTTCACGATATTTTCCTTATTGGTATACTTATGGCATATTTTGTCTTTGTTTCTCTTTTTGTGTCTTTCTCTTTATTCTTAATTTTTTACTGTTCTTAAGGACCACTTAAACATTACTTTGTATAAATCATGGTAATAAAAAGGTTCAAGAGCTCAGTCACCATTAAAGGCAATATGGCTGGAATCTAATTATGATGATCCCCAGGTCTGTTTCAAGTCAAAAATATTTTTCCAAGGAAGGAAAGCAAGAAAAAAAAAAAAGGACAAAACAAGATACTCACCAAAATTTTAACAATTCCAGGTACATCACATTGCAGCATCCTTACCATGTCACCTGTACATCCTTCCTTCAAACATTTTTTCCCACTAAAACTCTAAATTTATTAATAGAAAAAAATAAAAATAGAAAAAAATCACTGATGTGCAAATCTGATTATATTTAAATAAATGTAGTTAGAAGCAAATGTTGCTAGACAGTAAACTGGAAGATGTGAATATTTGACATGTAGCTGTTAAAAGATGGTCCATTTCATATATCAATGGATATCCTATTTAAAATGTATGATTTCACTCTACTTCAAAATCTTCAAGTAGCTGTATTACAGACTAAAATGCATTTGCTGCTCCAGAGAAAGCAACTTCAAGTAAAATGTACTAATTAAGTATGGGTAAAGAGGATTACTGAATTTCTATCAGATACGTGAGGATTCTAGGGAAAAGGAAAGAATAAAAATGTTACATCCTTTCTCTAGTTCTGGCCTGCTATTTCTTTTGGTTAAATTACTTATTTTTCTTTTACTTCTCTTTCTAAAATTCAGTAATATTAATTGCCCCTACAATCAAGGAAATTGTAAAGTATATACCACTTAAAAATGAATAAGTAAATCTTTATACAATTGTTTTTACAGTTTACAATGTGAGTTCCTCTGTTTTATCTGTTAATTCTTACAAAAACCCTATGAAATAGGTTTATCTTATCCTTACTTCAGAGCTTAAAAAAATTAGTCTCTGGGCAATTAAGTTACCAGTCTAATATAATAAAACTAGTAAGTGGCTCAGTCTGGACTTGAACCCAGATCTCCCAACTCCATATTCAATACACTTTCTACTACACCACAATTGCTTTAAACGGGTTTTCTGTTGTTTGTAGAATGTAAACACTATAGAACCACACATTATAGACCCAACTTACAGTCATCAGCTCACTAAAGAGTAATTAATTCAGAACTGGGCTTTGTATTTCCACTTTAATATTAGTGGCAAACAACTCTATTATATGTTATATATTATAATAGCTAATAACAGTTATGTTATATATTATATAATATTTATAATATTATAATATATATATAACTTATATAATTATATAAGTTATATAGTTATATATAATTATGTAGTTAGTTATATATAATTATGTAGTTATACAGTTATATATAATTATAACTTATATAATTATAACTATTATATATAATGTATAACCATATGTTATATAATTATATATTATCTATAACTACATATGATATGTAACTATTATAACTAAATGTAAATATTAAAAGTTCCATATATATTTTTGAAGACTATGAAATTTGTCCTTGTTCTTCACCTCTAAAATGGAAATCCTTAAAACTGTATAATTATCCTTTCTGTGTTTTTACTAAGAAATTCTATTCTATGATCCTATGTGCATATATGCAACAATATTTCTATTCTTAAGAGTATACATTTCTAAAAGGAAGGGAACAAATTGATAGAAACCACTAAGCAAACCAACTAACTAGTAGTGTATCACCTACAAAGAGCTGTTTAATAAATGATGATAATGAATGAAAAGTGGTAGGGAGATAAGCATCAGAGAGAATTGGGAAAGAACAAAGAAGGAAGTAAAAGAAAAAGAAAAAAAGGAGGAAGTAAAAAGCAGGAGGGAAGTTATGAACAGGAAGAAACGATGGGGAAGAGAACAAAAGAGGAAAGGGTAGAGGAAGAAATGCTGTTGTAGTTTTAAGAACGAATATAATACCTGATCATTTTCACCTGGATACTTTAAATTCTTGAACTTTTTCCAGCAAATTTTATGGAAATAAACACAGCAACTTTTACTGCACATTAACTGAAAAAATCCCTGGAAAAAAATAAAAGTAAGTTATCAATAAGGACATGGTGATTCTTGTATAGATAAAAAAAATTATATTGTCACTTTAAAAATTATTCTATAATTAGATAGATTTTACATGGCATTCAAAATTTATCAACAGAAATCAGAGATCACCAAATAACTTTACAAGTCATTTTTACATCACTAAAGATAGGAAAATTAGGACAGTAAAAAAAAGGTCAATAATTTGAAAAAATTAATATATTTTCCATATTCTACGTACAACAAAATATCAGAAACCCAGTGAGTGTGTCTACAGAGGAACATGCTACCTACCCATCTTCATCTCCATTTTTACATTTCTCTTTTCCTCCATCCCCAGCTCCATACCATTACTGCCTGAATCCCCTCTGTTACCAATCATGAGAACTCAGATTTTCTGCCTTGCTGACAGCTCCTGAGCTACTGCATAATCCGAGGGTATAGATTGCTTGTCTTTCCCACTGTACCCTGCCTGGAAACTACAACCTTGCTTTTTAAAATTTTTGCTTTGATGACAAAAATTAAATTGTGTGCCCAGGTATTCCTGCTGCTGCATGCTGTTGTTCATTTGATTAGAACCCTAAAGCATTCTTGAGAAACCTTAGGACCATATCACCATGTCATCTAAACCAATACTGAACAAGCCTGACCCTGAGCACTACATCTCACCAGGCTCACTTTTCAATCCCTGTCTTATTCTATTGAATAGATCTTGGTCTTCTCCTTCTTCCCACCTATCGGATTGGCTGTACACATCATGCCTCGCAATTAAGATATCAGTTATTTTTTTTAGAGTATTGTCTGATTTTCACATCATCTCATCCTATCTTGTGATTTCACAAAGTCTTATTCTGATAGATCCAGAGAGATAGATCTATCAGAAGTATTCTGATAGATCCAGAGAGAGAGATCTATCAGAAGTATTCTGATAGATCCAGAGAGAGAGATCTATCAGAAGTATTCTGATAGATCCAGAGAGATCTATCAGAAGTACTCTGATAGATCCAGAGAGAGAGAGATCTATCAGAAGTACTCTGATAGATCCAGAGAGAGAGAGATCTATCAGAAGTACTCTGATAGATCCAGAGAGAGAGAGATCTATCAGAAGTACTCTGATAGATCCAGAGAGAGAGAGATCTATCAGAAGTACTCTGATAGATCCAGAGAGAGAGATCTATCAGAAGTACTCTGATAGATCCAGAGAGAGAGATCTATCAGAAGTACTCTGATAGATCCAGAGAGAGAGATCTATCAGAAGTATTCTGATAGATCCAGAGAGAGAGATCTATCAGAAGTATTCTGATAGCTAAATTTCTTCAAATCAAGGCTGGTTACTTTTTCCCCCTGCCAAGGCCCATAGAAGAGAAAATGATCACTTATTTAGTAGTATCATTCCTGCGGAGTGACAGCCTTCTCCTTAGTAAAATGCTACCATTCTTAACCTCTAACAATTCTAACTATAAAGTAAAGCATTTTTTAGATCATTTTCACTGTATGACTGACTGCAGGAATAATACTTATAACTTCAGATGCATGTGAATCTTACAAAAACCTTAGTGAAACCAATTTATTCTTTTATTGACTCACAGAATATAAATAGTTCCTGATCACTCTGAATCTAAGTTCTCATAGTAAAATAACTTTTCAACTGCTTTACCATTGTAATTAAACTAAATGCTCTTTTAAAATATTTTATACATAATATAATTTTTATTATTTTATATAGTTATATATAATTTTTCAATTACTTTTTAAAAATACTGTTAATTGACAATTACAGTACCTTATAACTGGTGTTCTTCAAAATGTCAGCTTCACAAGATCGTTCACAATCTAGGTAACTACAAATCGTCTGCTTCATTATATTGCTTTCAGTTGTCTTGATAAAATTATTAAGAAGATCCTAGATTTTAAAAACAGAAAGAATTCTCATGAATTACTAATAATAAATTAACACCACAATTAAGACTACCCATGTTTTACCTTGGTAATATGTCCATATCATATCCCTTTTCGAAGTACTTGTATATATGTATTTTTTTAATAGTAATAAAACATTTCCCTAATTCAAAGTAAACAATGTATAGGAAGGTCCTAAATTAGAAGTACGGGATTTCTTAATGAATGATATAAACATGGAGAATGGAGAGAAGTGTATGTTTGAAGCCACACATCTCTTTATCATCTAACTCATAGCATAACACCTGGCATATTCCTATCAAGAATTATTTGCTCTACTATATACACACAGAGAGACAATAAATCACTGGTGTCCAAGAGAATCTTGGCTGGAAGCAACCTGTAGGTCACTGCATTGGCAGTGGAACCACTGTGGTAGTGCAATATGCCATTCACTGCTATAATGGGCAAAAGTACAGTAGAGAAATATGTTTTCAATGTCTTTAGTTACAAATCAGAATATAATTTCTCATTTTAAAATACTGATTAAATGGCCAGAAGTGGTGGCTCATGCCTGTAATCATGGTGCTTTGGGAGGTCAAGGCAGGGAGACTGCTTGAGCCCAGGAGTTCAAAGCTGCAGTGAGCTATGGTAGCACCATTTCACTGCAGCCTGGGTGACAGAATGAGACTCTATCTCTAAAAAATAAAATAAAATAGAATAAAACAAATAACAAATAAATGAAATGCTGATTAAATACAAGTGAATCATGTAATCAGGTCTAAGTTAAATGATTAGATAAGGTCCTTCATACTTATCCTTTAGAGGGATAGTGTTACAAAATTTCAAATAGTATTACTGCTAATGTATTGAAGGTATATATGATAAATAAGCCTCTAGAAATTATTTCACAAATATCGGCTCAATGTAGGAGGACAAAGTTGAGAAAATTTCCCAGACAGTAGAAAAAAATATCTTGAGAAATAAGAAAATTAGAGACTCAGTCTAGTCTACAAGGCATCTGAATAATAAGTATTTCACAAAGAAAAAGAGAAAATTAAGAAAATATTATGAAATATATAAAACAAGAAAATGTCCCAGAAGCAAAAAACACAAGTTCAGAAAACTGGTGATACAGGAAATATCCTTAACAATTCCCAGAAAGAAGAAAATAAAACAGGTCAAATACAAAAGTTTAAAAATCAGAATGAAATCAAGTTTCTTAGAAGTTGATTAGAAGTTAAAAGATAACAGAAAAATGCTTTTAAAAAATTGGAGGCCAAGGTGGGAGGATCACTTGAGCCCAGGAGTTTGAGAGCAGCCTGGGCAACATACTGAGACTGTCTTTACTAAAAAAAAAAAAAAAAAAAAAAGGGAATAATAATAATAATAATAATAATTTTTTTTAAAAAATTAGCCAAGTGCAGTGGCGTGTGCCTGTAGTCCCAGCTACTTGGGAGGCTGAAGGAAAAGAATTGCTTGAGCACAGGAGGTTGAGGCTGCAGTGAACTATGATCATGCCACTGCACTCCACCCAGGGTGACAGAGCAAGAACCTGTCTCCGAAAAGAAAAATTATTCTATCCTCAGGCAAGATATGAACAGAGTATACAAAGGATAAATTATTTTGATACTTGAAAGGTCTCAAAAAATTTACCTCCCATGCAAGCTCTCTTTTACGGGAAGCTGCTAGAGAATAGAGGAGTTGCACCACCAAAACAAGGAAGCAACCCTAGGAAGGAAAACTTGAGTTCTGAGAAACAGAGGATTCCACATACAAGAAAGGTGAGGAAAATTCCCAGGATGAGAGTGAAGGGAAACCCTGAGGCCAGCTTAACAAAAACATAACTACCAGTAGGATAGGAGAGAGAGAGAGAGAGAGAGAGAGAGAGAGAGAGAGAGTGTGTGTGTGTGTGTGTGTGTGTGTGTGTGTGTGTGTGTGTGTGTGTAGGGGATGTATAAGCAAGCTAAACTCTCATTTTTCACAGTGAGAAGTCAAAACAGAAAAACCTGGAGATATGTTTTAAATAGCAGTATTTCTTTTGAAAAATAGGTAAACATCAAAGAAAAATGTCTAGAAAGTTGGAAGAATGACTCTAGGAAGCAGAATTTCAGTTAGAGATAACAAAACAGAAACTCTTATTTTAAGTCTTTAAAGATTATTTGACAAACTGAATATATATATATTATTGTGCATAAAATAAAAATTCACTAAAAAAGTTAGATAATAAAGAAAGCAAAATATTTTAAAAAGAGGAAGAAAAAGAGTAAATCAACCAAGATCAAGTAAGGGACTGCTTTGTAAAGTAGGGATGAAAATTTAGTATTTTTAAAATGCATAAAATTATTACTTTAGCAAGTCAAAATTAAAAGTCATATGATTACCTTGACAATGCCAAAAGCTGTCTGCATGTTCTATTGATTACTGAAAGAAGTATATTAAAATATTCTATTGTGATTGGGGCTTTAAAAATATTTCTCCTTTCAATTCTGTCAGTTTTTGTCCCATATATTTTGAAGCTATATTACTAGGTATATACAAATTTGAGTTATCATATCTTCCTGGATAATTGAATTTTATATTTTAATAAAATGTCTCTCTTTATTTTGAGTAATGCTTTTGGCCTTAAAGTCAGGTAAAACATAAAGATCAAGAAAGATTTAAAGTTTTTTAAAGTTTTGAAAAAGATATGTCATTCAAACATTAACCAAGAGAAACCTGGTTTAGCTATGTTCATATTAAACAAATTAAAAAGACACAAATGGTTTATCAGATGGGTTAATAATTACCCAAAAGGTAAAGAACACCCAGAAGGTGTGGGAAAATGAAAAGTCTCACACTATTTGAAGAATATAAAGTGGTACAATTTTCTGAGAGAAAATACAGAGACATATAACAACTTTATAATTGTGTGAACACTTGCTCCACAATTCCACCTTTAGAAATTTATTCTAATGAAATGACGTGAGAAATATGCAAAGATCACTTTATATAAGAAGGAAAAACTGGAAATATTTAGAATAAACTTAGCAGGGAACTAGTTGAGCAAATTAAAACAAAGCTATATAATACATTATTATGCCAAAATCGCATTGTATAATAGTCTAATGACTGAGAAATAAAAAATACTATATATTTATATATATATATTATGCCAAATCGCATTATGCCAAAATCGCATTGTATAATATGGCAAAATCGCATTGTATAATAGTCTAATGACTGAGAAATAAAAAATACTATATATTTCCAGAGTACAAATAAGTGTGCACAACATCACAACTTAAAATCACAAAATAAAAGCTATTGGTGTTTATATGTGTGTGTGTGTGTGTGTCTGGACAGATATAAATAAAAATGCTAACAATGGTTTTTCCATTTGAAGAAGAAATATAGATGAATTTCATCTTTATCTTTAGGCATTTTTATATTTTCCATGTTTTCTGAACTAAGCATTTAGTACTTTGTAATTTAAATCAACAGCAAAATAATGGTAAAGATAATTAGGAAAAAAAGTTAACAGCTACATTTGACTCTAACCATGCAGGGTACTGGCCTAGTATCATTATTAATCTTCTCATTATTTGAAAATGTTAACACTGCCACCTCACTTCTCCCTCCTTGTTGAATCATACGTTCTGCACTAGGTAATGCAATAAAGGTTGTTTCTTGTATAAAAAGTTATGTGCCAATAAAAGAACATGCTTGCTGTAAGAATATGATATAGTTGGTTATTCTGATTAGTTACAAATAAAATGTTACTCTTAAATAATTTCTTACTTTAAAAGTTGTAGGTAAATCTTCATCTTCTGTAGGATCTATGTCAAACCAATGGTCATTTTTGTCTCCAATTTCTTGTAAGCTTTTATGAAATTCTAGCAGTCCTCCATTATATCTGAAAGGCATTTTAAAATAAGGTTAGTTTGAACGGGACTGTGTAGATGCATGGTTTACCAATGAGACAACAAATAACCCTTTTTTTGTGGTAAATAGGGTGGTGATAACCTCTGGCATGCCATAGAAATACAAATACTAGCACTCTCACCTGTGGCAGATTGGCATGAAATACAGGTGGAAGGGGAGGCACTAGATTATGTAGTAGCTCAAGCTTGAACAGTATGGGGGCCATGGTAATTAAAGGGACTGTAGAGTTGGTTGGCTTTAAACTGTCTTGGAGGCCTTGAAGAAAGAGAATGACAGGCACAGGTCAGCCAACTATTAACTCAGGATACACTGTGAAAGCCAGAAGGCCTCTATGGGGGCAATTGAAAGAGACTCTCATCCCCTATGGCCATAATCCGTGCTGAAAATAAGGCCCAAATTTAATCATAAAGTGAAACAAACTGATATTGAATGCACAGCCTCAACAAGACTAATACCATCAACTCAGGACACTGAAAACTAGAAGGCTTCTATGGCAACATCAAAAGAACCTCCTCTAGACATAAGGCAGACTATGCTGAAAATGAAGCTCAGGATTTAACCATAAGGGTAGAACAGCTGCAAAGGAGACCCAAAACACAGCCTCAACAGAACTACACTAAAATTAGGGCTTTGATATGCAATGAGTAGACCCTAGGATCTAAAATGGGGATATTTAGGTGAATGTGCTTAGAAATATTGAATCCTTAAATTTCCCCCATGAACCCTCTTGACTGGCAAAGACCTCCTCCTTGCCACAGGAGAGCAGCCTACCTTTATTTAGAGACCATGCAAAAATATCAGCTGAGACGCATGTCTCAAAAGATGATGCCCTTCCTTCTTAAGATCTTCCCCTACTGGCTGGGTGCGGTGGCTCATGCCTGTAATCCCAGCACTCTGGGAGGCCGAGGTGGGCGGATCACGAGATCAGGAGATCGGGACCATCCTGACCAACATAGTGAAACCCCATCTCTACTAAAAATACAAAAATGAGCCAGGCATGATGGCGCATGCCTGTAATCCCAGCTACTTGGGAGGCAGAGGCAGGAGAATCCCTTGAACCAGGGAGTTGGAGGTTGCAGTGAGCCGAGATCGCGCCACAGCACTCTAGCCTGGCGACAGAGCGAGACTCCGTCTCAAAAAAAAAAAACTTCCCTTACCTCATTGCCTTCAGACAATAAATCTAAGGTCAGGTGGAGAGCCCAAGTGAGAAAACAGAGCCCTTGCCCAGGACGAAAAAGCTTGTTAATCATAAGAATTGCAGAACCCTACTAGAATGTACTGGCAGGAACATGAGTGGGAGTGGATCTTTAAAGTGCTGAACCAAGGGTAAACACAAGGCTGAATGGGGAAGTGTACACTGATATGGAAAAACTCTTCCGTAATTCAAGATTTACTTTCCTAGAAAGGACACCTGAATCCAGTCCTAATATGGTGCTGAGAAGACTCCTTGAAACTTGGACACAATAATGGTCTATAGTAAATTAAGAAGAAATGCTGAAAATTTCTTGAGGAATATTAAAGGAGTCAAGGAAGTGAGAAGGTTAGAATTGACTTACTACATAAAAACACAGAACCCACCACTAATTCAGTGTTCCTAGAAAGGCTCAGAGGATACCCCATTCATTAATACAATAAGAACTACAGAGTAAGAAGGGCACCAGTGTCTTTGAGGAGCTCAGTGGTGGTTGTCCTCTATAGGCCAGGGATGAAAGTAATGATACTGCCATACAACTGGACTTTCTAGTGTCAATGATCTGGAAAATGAATTCTCTCCAATGCTCATCAGTAAAGAGAATAAAACAGTTTTCACATCTGAGGAAGGACAGCAGGATATATTCTTTGTTCTTGTCTCAGGCTATGTTAATTCTCTTACTTTGTCACAGTATAGACTGAAGGGATTTGGATCATTTTGACATTCTACAAAGCATCACACTAGCCCCACTATATTGATGGCACATGCTGCTCAGACCCAGTGAACAAGAAGTGAGATGTCTTGTGGATACCCTAGTAAAAAAACAGGCAAGCCAGAGAATAGGATATCAACCTTACAAAGAATCAGGGAACTACCACATAGGTGACACTTTTAGGGATCCAGTGGTTTGGCCCAGCAGTAATCCTTCATAAGAGTTTGCCCAAGCAAACTTTTCCAAATTCATCCCTCAGATCTTAGTCAAACATTGTTTTCTCAGGGAGACTTCTGATTCCCAGAACCAGCCTCCAGGAAACACTTTAGTTATTCACTCTAGTTTCCTTCATAACTCTTTATCCTATCTCATAAATATTTTATGACTGATTAGTTGATTAAGATCTATATCTTTCACTGTACTTTCAGTTACATGAAGACAGGAACTGTATTTTGTAAACCACTGTAACCTCAACACCTAACAGTTTCTGGAATATAATGGATACTTAGTAAATAAAATGAATGAATGATGTTACAAATGGTTATGGATCTCCATATAGGAAGTAAACAGATAATCTGTATAGTTTCCTCCATACAATTTCACTTTCTTAAAAGTAGTAGCCAATACTCCAAAAACTCAGCATTTGGACCCTTTTCAACTCTTTATAAGCTCATTTTATACTTTTAAAAACTATTCCAAGTTAGTGGTGATAATACTAATAACTCCAACCATAATTTATTTATTAAGTACAGCATTTTTGTGTCCTAGGCAATGTTAATCACCTGCAAAATCCTCATGAAGTGAACCCTACACTATTATTAGTTCTATTTTAGAGATAAGAAAAAAATATAAGGCTTAACAACATTAAGTTTCTTAGCATAAGTGATAAAAAATGTAGCTGAACCCGGGTCTATCAGACTCTAAAGCCTATGCTCCTAATGTTAATGCTAGACTGCTTCTTATTGCTATGGCCTGTTAAGTTTGCTATTTAATATTCTCAACTACATTAAAGAAATTATCTATACAAATAGGCAAAGAAGAAAAGGATAAAACAGTAGAGCACAAATGTCACAATGCCTGATATACTGTGCACACTTACTTCCATTTCACAATGCTGAGACTTCACAGGCAACATCTACCCGTTAATTAAAATCCTTACCTCTTTTGAGCACATCGCAGTAAACCACGTCCAAAATAAACTAAAGACATAAAGTTTTCACAAATTTCATTTTCTTGGATCATCATCTTCATCACCAGAAATTTATTCTCAGCTTCTGTATAATCCTGTAGTAACATAAAACTAGGTTTGGCTACTGTAAAAGTCATTTTTTTTTTTTTTACAATAAACAATTACTTCTCAAACTGGAGAAATTAGGGCAGCTTTAAAAATAATACAATCATCTGGTCATTTATTCACATTCTGAATCCTGGCATCTCTGCATGTGATTACAAAGATCATGTAGTCAGTGTTTAAAATATTTATTTATAAATAAACTTAAGACCTTCTTTAACCAATATTTCAAAGTGAATATTAAGATGGTAACAAAAATTTGTGTATCTAAAACTGGCAATTAGGCATGGTGGTGCACACTGATAGTGTCAGCTCCTTAGCAGGCTGAAGCAGGAGGATTGCTTGAGCCCAGGAGTTAAGTCCAGCTTGGGCAACATAGTGAGACGCCATCTTTTAAATACATACATATACATATCTAACTGGCAAGTACTACTAGCCAAAATAAGGGCTTTTCTGATAACTGTTAGAGCACAATTCTTTATCATTCTTCCTAATGGGAGCACAATTCTTCACAGTATTTCAGATAGAAAGTAAGTGATTTGTTGCCCATAGATATAAACTCTTTTGGGGAATCACCACCTTAATCATAAACAACATAGGTCTGGAAGTAAATATCAGGATCTGTTATAATAGATGCTTCAGTGAAAAAGGCATAATGGCCTCAGTCTCTCTAGAAAAAAAAAGCTGGAAAAATGCTGCCTGGCCTTACTTTAAAATATTCCCTAGTACATCACACTAAACAATTAGTACTACATTAAAGTATTTAAAATAGAAATGTTTTCAGTTTCGCTGCTTATCAATTCTACTTCACTTGTTAATTCTAATTAACAAGTCATATTTATATATTTAATTTATGAAGTCAGAAATACAGATTTGGGAAGAAAAAATAAGAGAAATATCAAAGCTATGAAGAAAATATGAGAAATCATTAAAAATCAGAAAAAAAAGGAAATGTTAAATTCAACAGAACCCTTAGAAATTATCTAGTTAATTCCCAGATTTGTACTTATTTGCACTTAAGTTTGACAAATAATTTGAGGTACAATTCATATTTTACAAAAGGGATACGATTAAAACCAGAGGGATTAAGCTATACTAGAAAATGGATTAAAATGTATTATGTAAGTGAAAGAAGCTAAATAATTTTTTATTTTACATGAATGGTAAGCATTCAAAAGATAAATAAAAGAAATGAAGTTATAAGCTAATATTAAGTTTCCTTTTTTAATATTTTTAGTTTCATATTATAATCTTTGGCCTGATTATTCCAAGATGTAAAAAGATTTATAAAGGGCAAATAACATGTTACATACCTCTTTCTTTCCTCTTTCAGTGAGTGCTACTCCATATAAAAACAGTAATGTCAAATAATAACCAATATTAATCTGGTGTGCCTACAAAGAAAAAAATATGTTAATTGGTTATTTAGACTAAGCTACTTTTCAGTACAACAAGCTTAATTAAATATCCTAAGCTTAATTAATAATTATTAAAACAAGTAAAAATTATCAAAACATTATCAGTCATCTAATAATAACGATAATGTATTTTAGATATATTTGATAATTTGACCCAGGAAGAAAGAGGATAGTCAATAATCTCAAAATAAAACATTAAAATTTAATCAAAGGAAAGGATATGGAAGAAAGATGGCCAAATAGAAGCTCCAACAATCGTCACCAACACAGGAACACCACACTGAACAAATACCCCATAGAAAAGCCCCTTCATAGAAACAAAAATCAGGTGAGTGATCACATTACCTGGTTTGAACATCATATTAAGGAAAGAGGCACTGAAGAGGGTAGGAAAGACAGTCTTAAGTTGCCTATACCATCCCTTCCTCCATCCCCTGACTACAGCTATGTGACATGGAGAGAGAATCTGCGCTTGGGGGAAGGACTTTGCACTGGAACTCAGTGCTGCCCCGTCACATCAGAAAGCCATACTGAGCAGAACTCAGTCAGTGATCACGGAGGTAGCATTTAGACAAGTGTTAGCCATAGGTAAATTGTCCATCCCAGCAGTCAGAGCCTGAGTTCCAGCAAGCCCTGCCAGTGTGGGCCAAAGTGCTCTGGGGTCCTACATAAAAGGCAGTCTAGGCCACAAGGACTGCAGTTCCTGGCCATGTCCTGGTGCTGTGCTGGGCTTGGAGCCAGTGGATTTGTGGTGTATACAACCTAGTAAGATACCAGATGGGGCAGGCAAGGGAGTGCTTATGTCACCCCTCCAACTCCAGGGAAAACAACTCACACGTCTGGGAGAGACACCTTCCCTCTGCTTGAGCAGAGGAGAGAGAAGAGTAAAGACGATTTTGCCTTGCCACTTGAATATCGGCTCAGTCACAGTAGAATCCTGAGGCTCTAGCTCCAAGACAATATTTCTAGACACATCCTGGGGCAGAAATGAATCCACTGCCTTGAAGGTAAGAACCCAGTCCTGGCGGGGTTCATTACCTGCTGACTAAAGAGCCCTTGGGCCCTGAATAATCAACAGTAGTAGCAGTACTCGCCATGGGCCTTGGGTGAGACTCAGAGCTATGCTGGCTTCAGATGTGACCCAACACATTCCCAGCTGTGGTGGCTATGGTGAGAGATGCCTTTCTGCTTGAGAAAGGCAGAGGGAAAAGTAAAGGGGACTTTGTCTTGCAGCTTGAGTATCAGCTCAGCCACAGTGGGATAGAACACCAAGTGGGCTTCCAGGGTTCCCACTTCCAGACTTCAAGTCCTGTCTGGCACTTCTGCACTCGCCCTGGGCCAGAGAGAAACGCACTGCTCAGAAAGAAGAGACTCAGTATAGGTGGTAGCAAGGCAGTCGTCACCATAGGGTTTGAGCAAGAACCAGTACTGGGCTGGCTTCGGATCTGAACTAGAGGAGTCTCAGTGGTCGTGGCCACAAGAATGCTTGTGTCACCCCTCCCCCAGCTCCAGGCAGCTCCATACACACACACACACACAGAGAGAGAGAGAGAGAGAGAGAGAGAGAGAGAGAGAGAGAGAGACTCTGTTTGTTTGGGGTAAAGGAAGAAGAGAACAAGAGTCTCTGCCTGGTAATCCAAGGAGTTCTTCCAGATCTCACCAAAGACTACCAAGATGGTACCTCTATGAATCTGCAAGAGACACAGGGTTACTGGGCTTAGAGTGTCCCCTAATGCAGATATAGCAGCAGTGACCAAGGACTTAAATCACAATATGCAAGTCCCTTTGAATACCTGGAAAGACTTCCCAAGAAGGACAGGTACAAAACAAGGCCATACAGTGAAGCCTATAATGAATACCTAACTCTCCAATGCCCAGACATCGATGGACATCCATTAGCATCAAGACCATCCAGGAAAACATGACTTTACCAAACCAAAAAAGGCACCAGTTGCCAATCCCAGAGAGACAAACATGTGACCTTTCAGACACAAACTTCCAAACAGCTGTTTTGAGGAAGTTCAATGAAATTCAAGATAACACAGAGAAGGAATTCAGAATCCTATCAGATAAATTGAACAAAGAAATTGAGAATAATTTTTAAAAATCAAGTAGAAATTCTGGAGCTTAAAAAAGCAATTGACATGCTAAAGAATTCACCACTGTCTCCCCAACCCCCACCTACCCTTCCCAGCCTCTGGTAACCATCATTCTACTAGCTATTTTTTTGAGTTCACTTGTTTTAATTTTTGGCTCCCAAAAATGAGTGAGAACATGCAAAGTTTGTCTTTCTCTATCTGGTTTATTTCACTTCACATAATGACCTCCAGTTCCATCCATGTTGTTTCAAGTGACAGGATCTCATTATTTTAATTTTTTTTTTTTTTAGAGATGGGGTCTCACACTATTACCCAGGCTGATCTTGAACTCCTGAGTTCAAGTGATCCTCCCATCTCAGCCTCTCAAAGTGCTGGGGGGAATCTTGTGCTTTTTTATGGCTGAATAGTACTCCCCTGTGTATATGTACCATATTTTCGTTATTTATTCATCTGGATGGACACTTAGGTTGCTTTCAAATCTTGGCTATTGTGAATAGTGCTGCAATAAACATGAGAATGCAAATATTTCTTTGATACACTGATTTTCTTTCTTTTGGGTATATCCCAGCAGTGGGATTGCTGGATCCTATGGTAGATCTATTTTCAGTTTTTTGAGGAACCTCCAAACTGCTTGCCATAGTGGTTTTACTAATTTACATTCCCACCAACAGTGTAAGAGGGTTCTCTTTTCTCCACATCCTCACCAGCATTTGTTATTGCCTGTATTTTGTACATAAGCCATTTTAACCTAAGTGGGCAATAGTGTGAGACACCATCTCTACAAAAATACCAACCCTACTTTTTCAGCATCTGTTGAAATGAGTATACAGTCAACAATAATTCATTGTACATTTTAAAATAAGAAACAGTATAAATGGATTGTTGTAATACAAAGGATAAATGCTTGAGGTGATGGATAGCCCATTTACCCTGATGTGATTATTATGTATTGTATGCCTGCATCAAAGTATCTCACATACCCCATAAAATGTACACCTATATACCCACAAAAATTAAAAATAAAATTTTTTAAAAACTGGTAAAAAAGAAGTATAAAAATTTGTTACATTAAACCTTTCAAAAACTCTCATTCACTCTGTCTCTTTTATTATGTAATATTTTAGGTATCAAGAACACATTAAATAATAATATAACGAACACTGAAGTATCTACCATCCACCTTTAAAAATACAATGATCTGGCTGGGTGCAGTGGCTCATGCCTGTAATCCCAACACTTTGGGAGGCCGAGGCAGGCAGATTACAAGGTCAGGACATCGAGACCATCCTGGCCAACATGGTGAAACCCTGTCTCTACTAAAAATACAAAAAATTAGCCAGGCGTGGTGGCACGCGCCTGTAGTCCCAGCTACTCGGGAGGCTGAGGCAGAAGAATCACTTGAACCCAGGAGGTGGAGGTTGCAGTGAGCCGAGATCGTGCCACTGCATTCCAGCCTGGGTGACAGAGTGAGACTCCATCTCAAAACAAAAACAAAACAAAACAAAACAAAAACAATGATCTTTTAAATCAAAATCCTTTACTCTCCCACATGGATTCTGCAAAATAGTATGAACATAAAGCTCATCACTTCTTCAATGAAAAATTAAACCATGTGGATATTTCCTTCGTATAAAAATGGTCTATGCAAAATTACTGAGATGAGATAGATTAGGGATCAGTGAATTGTAGAGGGAGAGAGGTGGGTGTGACCATAAAAGTCATAAGAGAGATTTTTGTGGTGGTGGAATAGTTCTTTTATCTTGATTGCAGTAGTTACATAAATGTACACATTTGATAAAATGGCACAGAACTATACAAGCCTGGGCATTAAAAAGCTAACCTAGCTGGCCTGAGGCTGTTATCCTTATTAAGTCCTGCTTGCAAAGTTGATCTTTGGCTGATGTCTGGGAACTTGAATTTTGGCAGTGTTCCCTAACTGATAAAGGTGCCTTGCTATGTCTAGACTATTTGTGCAAACACTATGATTTATGCTGAGCACCTGGGATTTTCTTCTGGAAGTGTGGAATTTTGATACATGCCAGGCAGCAGGTACCTAGATGACCAACGCCCAATAAAAATATTGATCACTGAGTCTCTTATAGGCTTCCCTGGGCAGAAACACTGTGGATGTTGCTACATTTTCATTGCTGGAGGTGGCCGTATATGCTGTGTAGCTTCTCATGGAAGGGAGAAAATATGGAGGAACCTGCAGATGGCTTTCGTCAGACTTCACCTGTGTCTTTTCCCCATATGATCTACTATGTATCCTTATCACATCACCATAATAAATCTTAGATGTTAGTATAACCATATGCTGAGTCCAGTCCTTCTAGCAAATCTCTGAACATGAGGGTGGTCTTGGAGAACCCAGACACAAAGCCCCATGGACCAACATCAATTTCCTGTTTTTTTTTTTTTAATATGTTCTGGAGTAATGTAATTATGTAACTATTTAGGGAAACTGTGTGAGGGGTACACCAAGACCTCCCTGTCCATTGTATTTGTGATGGTTAAGTTCATGTGTCAACTTGACTGGCCACAGGGTGCCCAGATTAAATATTGTTTCTGGGTGTGTCTCTGAGCGTGTTTCCAGATGAAATTTGCCTTTGAAATGGTAGACTGGGTATAACAGGTTGCCCTCTCCAATGTAGGTGGGCATCATCCAATCCATTAAAGCCTGCATAGAACAAAAAGTAGAGGAAGGAAGAATTCATCCCTTTTTGCTTCCGGCCTGCTTGCTGGAGCTTGGACATCTCATCTCAACTTCTGCCTTCATCCTTGGATTTATACCTGGTTCTTAGCCTTCAGAACTGGGATGAGTTATATCACAAGCGTTCCTGGGTCTCCAGATTACAGAGAGCAGATCATGGGACTTGCTGAGCCTCTATAATGACATGAGGCAATTCCTCATAATAAATCACATATACATTCCTTATAATCATGTATATGTATATGTGTATATAAGTATTTGTATGTTTTATGTATATAAAACAAAACACACACACACACACACACACATACACACATATACCCACACACATACACACACACAGCAAAAACCAGTCTGGTTTCTCTGGAGAACCCTGGACTCCTCTGCTCATAAGCTCTATATTGACTGAAGATTATAACCCTATCTTTTGTCACATTACCCTTTTTCATCAAGATTTCCCCATACCATAAACAAGATTTTTCTAGGTACATAGAATGATAAATACCCATAGGATATAAGCTTTCTTTTTTTTTTTTTTTTTTTTTTTTTTGAGATGGAGTCTCAATCTGTCACCTAGGCTGGAGTGCAGTGGCATAATCTTGGCTCCCTGCAACCTCTGCCTCCTGGGTTCAATTGATTCTCCTGCCTCAGCCTCCTGAGTAGTTGGGATTACAGGCGCATGCCACCACACCTGGCTAATTTTTATATTTTTGGTACACACGGGGTTTCACCATGTTGGTCAGGCTGGTCTCGAACTCCTGACCTCGTGATCTGCCCGCCTCGGCCTCCCAAAGTGCTGGGATTACAGATGTGAGCCACCGCGCCCGGCCCATAAGCTTTCTGTTTATACTGATCTAACTGTATACTCTCACCTTGCATGCTTCTAATGACCAACAGTATTCATTGAGGAGATAACTGACTGGGATTATAAATTTGGCTTCAAACTGATCTCAGTGGAGATAGACGTGTGTTTGTTCTTGATGGACTAAGTGAGTCTATTAAATATAAACTCCTCATAACATCTAAGTGGTTCCCACCTTAAAATTCTCATCCCTGAAGAGGCAGTAGTTCAGACCATAGAATCTAGAGCCACCTGACTCCACTACTTACTACCTGGTCAAGTTAGCAAGTTATTTAACCTCTGTGCCCTAAGATGGGGTACTTATGAACAGTAAAAGGGCTAATTTTTACAAAGCGCTTAGAATAGTGGCTGTCATACAGCAAACACTAAAGAAGTGTGAGCTATTATTTTGTAATTAAAAGAAAACAGCTTCATGAATAACATAACAGAGACTAGCTAATATAATTCTAAATAAAACATTTCTAAGAACAAGATAAGATGCAGAATTGTGGTAATGCTATAATTAGAGGAGGAAAAACTCTGGAATTTAAAGATGCAAGTTGTACATTTCTAACCTAAAGCCCCTGTCCTTTTCTCCTACCTTCTCCCCATCAGCAAAGATTATTCCAAGAACTAGAATAAAATTAATATAGAGATGCTATTCGCAACTGCACCCCCATAATACATAATCCACTGTTGTCTCCTACAAGGTTGTCTTTTCCCTTTTTGGTGGCCTTGAAGGACAGATAGAGTAATTTAGATACAGCAATAGACTGCTTTGATCATCACAATGCCACTTCTGCTCACAAGTACTACCTAGAGCTACCAAGGGAGAAACTCTTCCATTTCCTAGTCTAAGACTCATCTTTGAAGTAATGTCTAAGTAAAGAAGGCTAAGCAATGGGTACCTGTTAAGGCTGATTTCACATTGATTTGTTTCACTGACTGGCAATCTGGTCAGTGGGAGAAATAGCAGGTCTGCCATATCCCCCAAGTTCTCAGGATTACAAGATGCAAATCCCCCATTTTCTTTGTTTCCTCATTGGAATCCAACTAGAATCTCCTTCTGAATGGTGTAACTCACCCTGTAAGAACCCTAATCCCCAGAATCCTAAATAAGTATTATTTTTCCGTCTCTTTGTACATCATTATAATATGAGATTTAATGTCTTAGGCTCCCTTTTTTGGTGTCTGGGTAGTCCTTTTTTGAAGATAACCCTATTTATTTCTAAAGTATCATTTGATCTTAAACACATAAATACATTTTGTTAATTTTACCTATAAGAGAAATTCCAACTTTTACAAATATAGAAATCTCAGAAGAAAGAGAAGCTGATTAATTATGGTTTAAAAAGACAGAATATTTTTTCTTTTTTAAATTGATAAATAAAAATTGTATATATTTATCATATACGACATTATAAAATATGTATACATTGTGAAATGACTAACTCAAGCTAATTAACATATGTATAACCTCACATATTTATCATTTTTGTGGTGAAAATACTTAAAATCTACTCTAGGCAATTTTCAGGATTATAATACATTGTTATTAACTATAGTCACTATGTTGTACAATAGATCTCTTGAACTTATTCTTCACATCTAACTGAAATTTTGTATCTTTTGACCAACATCTCTTCAGTCTGTACTCCTGACCCCTTACCCCTAGCCACCATCGTACTCTCTGCTTCTGTGAGTTCAGCTCCTAGATTCCACATTCAAATGACATCATGCAGTATTTGTCCTTCTATACTTGGCTTATTTTTTTTAACTTTATGATTCTCCATTTCTGATTGGGAAAGCCCATTTCTATTAGTTCAAGTTTCTCTTAAGATGAACAATTTTGTGGTAGGGAAGGAGACTAGAATAGGCTTATTACAGAGCCAGTCACATGAGAAAGTACAAGACATACATAAGTCATCTACCAGTCATATAAGAAAGTACAAGACACAGGAAGGCAATCAATTTATACATACCCTTTTCTAGAGGTAAAAGAAAAAAATAAAAATTGGCCCACACCTTAAAATAAGCATGCATTGGCTGTTTTCTCACTGAGAAATGTTGACCAAGTCCATTATATCAAATTTCCAAAAAGAAAACACTTACGGTATAATTGCCAGCTTGAATGTTCCTAAGTGCTGCTTCTAGCTGTGTAATCAAGAAACGTAAAGTCAAAGCAGGAACAATTTCCTCACCATTCTGGCTGTTAGCTGCAACTTCTCTCTGTGGAAAATTATTCAGTTAAAAATGTCTATAAGTCTGAACAAACATCTACATATGTTTACATTATACAAATAATTCATGCTCATTGGAGAAAATTTTAAAAATAGAGATAAAGACGGTTTAAAAAAAAAAAATCCATACCAACCAGATACACTGTTCTCATATGTTTGCTTTTAAGTAGTCCGATGAATGTCGTTTGTAACTATTTCCTTAAAACAATTTTAAATTTTATTTTATTTATTTATTTATTTATTTATTTATTTATTTATTTATTTTTGAGATGGAGTCTCGCTCTGTCGCCCTGGCTGGAGTTCACTGGCGCAATCTCAGCTCACTGCAAGCTCCGCCTCCCGTGTTCACACCATTCTCCTGCCTCAGCCTCCTGAGTATCTGGGACTACAGACACCCACCACCACACCTGGCTAATTTTTTGTATTTTTAGTAGAGATGGGGTTTCACCATTTTAGCTAGGATGGTCTTGGTCTCCTGACCTCGTGATCCGCCTGCCTTGGCCTCCTAAAGTGCTGGGATTACAGGCGTGAGCCACTGCGCCCAGCCTCTTTAAAACATTTTTTAAAAAGGCATTCCTATACCTGCCAAAGGGTTGGCAACATCCACACCTACTTCAGAGGAAAATGGTAATCCCAGTTCACTCTCATACCTTCTATTGTGTGACATAGCTAAAATATTCCAGCCCTGAACCTGTGGTAAACAGGAATGCTGGCATTAATACCAATACAAGGGTAAACCATTTTATGCTGCAATCTGATTGCAACTGAGCTAATGCATGCTTTATTATGTACTATAGTTTATTTACATGGTTGAAATGAAAGGTAGGACTATGTCTTTGTGTCCATTCCCCAATGTTTTCTACCCACAACGGCTTGGTTTATATTACATAATCTGTTTAATAATGTATAATCTGCATGGAAAATTTAATCTACACTTCCATAACTTGGTTTCCATATATAACATTTTCCTGTTTTTTTCCTAGCTGACTAGATACTTTATTTCAGTCTCCCTAGCAATCAATTTAATGAGCCTCTTCTCTATCAATACATGTTCTCTAGGTAAAGTAACCCAGTATCATAATTTTAAATAGTGTCTACATACTGACAGTTTCCAAATTTACATTTCTAGCCAAGAACTTCACCTACATTCCAAGCTCAAACAATATCTCTTGAATTTGAATAGAAATACAAAACATAATACTGAAGTTCCACCTCTGTCAAACAGCCTAGGTGGTTTCAAATCAGTCTCCCAATGAGAATAACTAAAACAACGGGACAAGATATAAAAACTAATTATCTGAAAGCAATGGAAAACTACTAACACAATGAAAATAAAAACCTCTGAAAGGCAATCTCTGGAGAGCTGACTTTTGACTGACTTTTGGAGCTACTTTTCTCATTAAAGTAATTGCCATATTCAGTTGTGGCACAGCCTTCAGCAGATTTGCAAGGCTTGGGGGAAAATTGGAGTGCATGGTCTATAAGGAGGAGCAGCCCTGGTAAACAGCCCATTCTTTTCATTGAGGCCCTGTTTTTGTTCCAATGGAAGCAGACCATAATTAAAGGATTTCAATGGAAATAGTTTATTTGGGAGGTACAGAGACAATGGTAGGAAAGTGGAGAAGTAATAAAGTGAAGGAAAAGTAGGTTTTAATTAAAGGATGTGTTATTATGCTAGTTACCCATGGTGGGCCACTGCGGTTATCACAACGGGGAAATTTTGGAAAACTCAAAAATACAAACCTCAGTATTAACCAACTCAAGGGAAGAGGCAACTGGGATATTCATATAATAACTCCCAAGACCTACTGATTGAGTGCTTTCTGGGGTGATGGGGGAATATTAATTCCTTGGGTCTTCTGAGCTGCCATGAGAAGTAGCTTTCTCCTGTTCTAGAAAAAAAGGCCCTGAGGCATAGAGATATAGACATGGAAAACTAGAATTGTCCAGAGCATACTGAAAATATAGGTAGGGTCCAATTGGTATGGGGGGGCAATGACAGAATCTGCTACAAAAGGTAGAGAAACTGACCCTTCCTCAAAAGAACTAAGTAAAGGTTGGAATCATTTCTATCCCAGGTTGAATTAAATAATTTACTAGAAAAGCAAAAATAAGAATTACTAGAAAAAAATGTGTCCAGTTTTTCAAGTTCTTCACAGAGGCAGGTTGCTATGAGACAAACCAGGTAGCTACTCCAAGTAGCAGAATTATCTCTATTATCTTCAATGACTACAGTATTTGTATTTATGTTTTCATGTTCATTCATGATTTTGGATATTTTTGCTTTCGGTTTTGGACATACTTATTACGCATTTGTCAATTTGATTGGTCTTTCCAAAAAAGCAAGTTTTGGATTTATTGATCCTTTCTATTTTATGTTTTAAATAGATTTCATTAGTTTTAACTATCCTTATTACTTCCTTTTCAAGTGCTTTTAATTTGCTGTTCTTCCATTAACTTCTTGAATGTCATGCTTAGATAACTGATATTCAACCTTGCTTCTTTTTCTAATATTTACATCTCAAGCTATAAATTCTCCTTGAAGCACAGCTTTATCTAATAACACAAGATTTGATATATATTTTTATTCAGTTCAAAAATGTATCTAACTTCTATTGTGATTTCTTCTTTGGCCAATTGGTTACCTAGATTAGAGGTATATATCTTACCTTATGAACATACGGTTTTCTAGATTATCTCTTTTATTGATTTCTAGATTAACTGAAGAGTAGTTAGAGAACATACTCTGTATATTTTGATACTCTGAAATCTGATGGGGCTTGCTTTGTGACCTAGCATATGGCCAATTTTTGTAAATGTTCTGTGTGCACTTAAAAGAATGCATAATCTGCCACTGTTGGGTGCAGTGTTTATACATGTGTGTCTCAATTAGAGCAAGTCTGCTGTAGGTCTACTAATTCTGTGTCCATGTTATATCAGTTATAAGAGAAGTATGTTAAAATATCCCACTGGGATTGATTTGTCTTTTTCCTTTAGTATTATCTATTTTTATCATCTTATCATTCATAAAGGTTCTGTATATATTTGGTCCTACTTCTGGAACTTATCTTCTATTTTCTAGATATGTCTGAGGTATAAAGAACAAGTAACACAATCTTTTAGTTATTAGAGCTTCATAACAACTTTTAATGTTTAAGTGGGCAAATTCCCAGCCCTACTCCTTCATACTTTTCTTAAATAATTTTCTTGGCTATTTTTCCTCTTATTTCCCATGTGAACTTTAGACTTAGCATTTAGCGACACTAACCAAAAAAATCCCATTATTTTAGTGGAATCATGCGATATTTGTGGATTTTAATTTATAGAAAATTGACTGCTTTAACATACTGCGTCTTCCTACATGTACTATTCCATTCAGGTCCTCATTTCTTACCTTTAATAGAGTTTTAGAAAGTTTTACTTATTGTTTTAATATGCAGTATTGATTTCTAAATTTAATGTGAGTACAATCAGTGCTTAGGTACTTACTAAAACACAAATTCAAAGACCTATCCCCAGAGATTTTGATTCTTTAGAACTGGTACAGGGGTCAGATATTCTCATGTAAGTGGTTTAGAACAAGCTTAAAGAAATACTAGTTTATCTTGTACATTTCTTAAGTATTTTACTCAGTATTTTACTTTTGTTATCATTATAAATAAGTACAGTTTGCCCTCCATATCCACAGGTTTTGCCTCCATGGATTCAACCCACCATGGATTGAAAATATTTGATAAATAAATAAATAAATAGAAAGAATACAATAATTTTAAAAAATTGAAAAGACAATACAGTATAACAACTATTTACATAGCATTTACATTGTATTAGATATGTAATACCTAGATGTAATCTAGAGATGGTGTAACACATACGGGAGAATGTGTACAGGTTGTATGCAAATACTATGTCATTTTACATAAGAGACTTGGGCATCCTTGGATTTTTGTACCGGGGGTGTCCTGGAATTAACCTCCCACAGATACCAAAAGATGACTGTACTATTCTTCTATTTTTACCTTCTAGTTGCTATTTTTTGCATATCTGAAGGCCACTGATTTCTGTCTTGTTGTTTCTAAGTGATTTCCAAAAGATAAGAGGGAAATGGTAGCATTATTCTATCAATTTCTAGCCAGAATTCACTTATACTGTGGTAAATTATCTCGGTTAAGGTTATAATTGTGCATAAAGTCTTATGAATATCTTCAGTTTGTTGGAATTTTTAATCATAATAGTATTAATGTGTTTCATGGAAATAACCATATATTCTTTCATAGAAAGACAAATGTAGCCTTCTCAAGACAACTATGGTGCTTTACCCTTCTCTTCTCTAGTTAATTGCCACAAAGAAAAGAGTATATAATTTTCTTTAACTTCAGAAAACTCCATTAAGAAATGGTATCTTTCTTATGCTGAAAGTTACCACAAATTATACAGAAAAACTACTTTCAAGATGGAAATCTACAATATAGCTTCCAGAATATTTATTATACAAATAATTCCAAATATTTGGATATGATTTTTAAAAATGCATTTTTGACAAATGTGTCAACTTTTTTTTTTTTTGAGACAGAGTGTTGCTCTGTCTCCCAGGCAGGAGTGCAGTGGCATGATCTCGGCTCACTGTACCTCCACCTCCTGAGTTCAACCGATTCTCCTGCCTCAGCCTCCCAAGTAGCTGGGACCACAGGCATGTGCCACCATGCCCAGCTAATTTTTGTATTTTTAGTAGAGACCAAGTTTCACCATGTTGGCCAGGCTGGTCTCAAACTCCTGACCTCAGTGATCCACTCACCTCGGTCTCCCAAAGTGCTAGGATTAGAGACGTGAGCCACTGTGCCTGGCCAAATGTGTTAACATTTTATGAGTTAGGAGAACAAAAGCAGTCCCCTGTCCCAGACTGGCATGTTACAGGTTATTAGCAGGACTGGAATAAACACTAGACCTTGTAGTCAACAGCTTACAAGCTACCAACCCACATTCCTACCATTATTCTTAAAAGGCTAGCACCAAATGACTCTATTTGTTCAACTTTTTAGAAGTCTACAGTCAAGGTTGACAACAAAGCCCTTTACAAGAAGTAAGATGGAGATTTTTTTCAAGACCTTGGCTATACTGTGTGGTTTAAAAAGAATTTTAATTAAAAAAGTCATATACAGACAGCTGCACTTCTGCCCCAAATAACAACTTATGACGTTACCTGCATAGTTTGGAAGGAAAAATCTTCTTGTAAGAACTTCTTAATGTGAGGAACCACACCTTTTGGTAGAGTATTAATTGCATTTAATAACTTCTTCACTTCTAATAGTAGGTTAACAGGGACAAGATCAGTAGGTATGTCATTTTCCTGTTTGTTCTAGAAGACATTATTGATTAAAAATTTACACAGTTTGCATATTCTCATTCACTCTTAATTCTAAGATCAGCCAAAGCATTAAAAAAGGAACAAAGCTCATTTTCCCTTGTTCTCCTAGCTTCTATGACAGAATTATAAAAAATCTAAGGAAGAATAATATGTTCTCTGCTCTCTAGGAACTTAAAATATTACATATATTATTCTCTGTAACATGAAAATTATATCTAAATGTGCTTTTTACATTATATGACTGATGCGTCAGCTATTAAACACACAGCAACTTGAAAATGAATAGTTGTTAATAGTTCAAATTGTAAACAAAGTAGTAAAGTAGAATGACTCAACATCTCAATTCAGTCAGAGCTGTATAAATAGTAATAATCTTCAGGAATTTATTCTTACAGAATTAATAAGGCACAGTAATTGTTAACTGATAACTACACAATCAAGTCCTGCTGGAATATCTACTAACATTAGTTGTGAAGAACTAGTGGACAACAGAGATGGATAAATGGCCTAGAACAGATGGATGATGGCCTTCCTTCAAACCTTAACAAGAAACCAGAGTTCTTATACTCTGTGGGAATTCTAGGAATATGATTATGTTGCTGTTGATCTCTGAAAATAAGAACTTCTTATTGCAGAAGCCCCATAGAGCTTGAGATGCTGAAATGCCCTTGTATGGGCTAACTCACTTTCAGTTCTCTAACAGACCTGGAGCTACACAGGAAAGTAAGTAGAAACCAATAAAGTCCATTGCAGGACTATCTGTCTAATCTCAACTATGGTGTTTTGCCCTTCTCTCCCCTAGGTCATTGCCACAAGGAAAAGAGTTTGCAGAGATTATCCAGTAACTTAGGAGGGGAAAATATATAAACATAAAATAACCATGGTATTCGGTATCCACTTGTAGGAGGTTATCATTGTAAAAAATGGGTTTGAGTACTAAATTAAGATTCCTCCATCCCCATCTATATTCCACAAATATACCTTAGATTTTATAGCATTTCATAAGATTATTTATGTAGAAAAATGTTAACCGTTTACTAACTCTCTATGAAGGATGTTCATTGTACTACTATTCATTTTACTATCTTGCAATCTTTCTAAAGGTTTGAAATTTTTCAAAAAGTTAAAACAAAATTCTACAAAGTAACTAGAAAAACCCCTTATAAAGAATGACCAATATCAGTAGTGCATATAATTCAAACTAAAGGTCAATTCTACTCAAAAGTACTTGTAGAATCATCGGATACTAATTAACAAATTTATACATGGGCAAGATTATAGCATGAATAAAAATTTTTCAACAGGAAATATTGTAAGTGTCATGCCTACAGCGTCTTGCTTTGTCACCTAGGCTGGAGTGCAGTGGCATGAACACGGCTCACTGCAGCCTTGACCTCCCAAGCACAAGTGATTCTCCCACCTTAGCCCCTCAAGTAGCTGGAAATACAGGCATGCACCACCACACCCAGCTAATTTTGGTATTTTTAGCAGAGACAATGTTTTGCCATATTGTAAAGGCTGGTCTCAAACTCTTGAGCTTAAGCAATCAATCCGCCCACATTAGCCTCCCAAAGTGCTGGGATTACAGGCATGAGCCACCATGCCTGGTCCACACTTTTAATTTAAGTTAGTTGTCAAAAAATATTTGATGCTTAATCCATTTTGGCAAAATTGATTAAATATCTAAACAAAATTCAGGTCAAAGTGTCCACCTTCCTTGCTTTTTGTATTCCTGATTCTGCATCTAGAAATGTCTTTTCTGGATCTAGTCCCCTGGTTCTTGCCTTTGCTCAACTGTACAACCCTACATACATGTGCATATAGCATACTTCCTCTGCAGCATTTTTTACAGCGATAACCTCATGCAGGTGAATACCGTGCTTATTTTATGTTTATATATTTTCCCCTCCTAAGTTACAGGATAACCTCTGCAAACTTTCCTACCCATGTTCCTGCAAACATGTGCCTACCCAAGTCTCATGCTGAATTGTAATTCCTAGTGTTAGAGGAGGGACCTGGTAGGAGGTGATTGGATCATGGGGGTGGTTTCTAATAGTTTAGCATCATCTCCCTAGTGCTGTCGCATGATAAGAGTTCCCACAAGATCTTGTTGTTTAAAAGTGTGTGGCACCTTCCCCTTTGGTCTCTTTCTCTCCTGCCGCCACGTGAAGGCGTGCTTGCTTCCCCTTTGCCTTCCCCCATGACTCTAAGTTTCTTGAGGACTACCCAGCCATGCCCCCTCCTGTCCAGCCTAAGAAACTGTGATTCAATTAAACCTCTTTTCTTTATAAATTACCCAGTCTCAGGTAGTTCTTTACAGCAGTATGAGAACAGACTAATACACTTATTAACAAGTGGACATCAATCATTATATAAAACTATGTGGAAGGTAAAATTATACTAATGAGAACCTAACAAATATCTCTTAATCAGTCTTTCACAAAATATATGAACATATGATGTTCATACAACTAGTTTTAACTACCATAAAAGTATATCACTGGTAATAAAAGCCTTTTATGTATAATTCAGAGTTATTCTCTTTCATTTAGACCTAGAAGTTCTAACCATAAAGATAATAAAAATAAAGAATAAGTTTAACTTCAGAAATGACTCAAACGTCTTAGTAAATAAAATTCTGTATGTGTGTATGTGTGTTTTCTTTATATGTATATAGGTTTTGTTTTGCTTTAATTTCCCCTTCAAAAAACAAATGAGGGATTTCTTAAAAATGATTGTTGGGTTATTTCTGGATGATTCCATTCAATTTTTTTTTACTAATTTTTAGTTATGGTGAGGAATGGTATTTAGAATGACAACCTTGAGATACAGTATCAATCATCAAAGCAAGATTTAACTGTGACCATTTTACTTATGAAGGTAGGAAAGTAGGCTCACTCAAAAAATTTTAACACGTAATTAAACTGACTAGATGTATTACTGCATTTGCATATATAATTAATTATCAATTAACTAACAGTTAATGAAAATTAAACTTTCTCTTACCAGTTGACCAGATGATTTTTCTAGCTTATTCTCAGTTTCTTCCTTCCTCTGATCCTCCACAGCAGGATGCCTATTTTAAATGAAAATGAGGTATATTAAGAGCATCTTCTCACAAAGAACACAAATTGTAGTAGTAAAGAATCTAACAATTGAATTATTGTCTGAAAGTGTAACCAAAATGTATCAAAGACTGGTAATGGTGGTAGGTGCCATATCTCTTTAGAGACTCATGTTAAAGAAGACGAATTGGCCATGCCCTTACTGGATGGTGGTAGAGAAAACAGCAAGCCAATTATGAAAAACACTGCATCCTTAACAGATATGCAGTAGACCAAACTAATGGGAAAAAAACCTTATAGCACTGTTCCAAGGTAAAGGGAAAAGAGGTCTTAAAAAGGTTGATGTTTTGTGTGTTTATGAAGATATTACAGGTTAGGGAGAGATCTATCTTAAATAGATCATCTTATTTTCTGTTTGGGGTTCCTAAACTTACAATTGTCCAGTTTTCCAAAATATTTTTAACTGAGGAAAAGTATCATATTTAGAAACTATTTGAGTAATAAGGGATCACTTGACAGGTTTTGCTTTTAACCTTAGCTCAAAATGTGAACACACTGCAGTATTATATACTGAACTGAAAATTTTATTTGTAATGTTGCTTTTGCCTGCATACAGAACCATTGTATAGGAACCATAATAAAGGCACCATAATATAGGGTCATAGGTGATTTATTCTATGTTAATTCTGGACACCAGCAGAGATAACACTGAGGTGAGAAATTTATATTGACTGATTTATTCAGAATTGTACTTTATAAATATTCTCTTATTTGACTTTACATTTATGCATTCATTTGACAGACAACCATTTATCATCTAATATATGCTAATTGATTTTGTTGGGGTAAATTGGGACAGATAAATAAAATGGTATTGTCCATTTTCAAACTTCTAGTGAAAGTTTCTACAAAAGATGATATACACATGCCAACATTTCACAATATGATTCTCAGTGCTCTTTAAGGTGCCACGGTAAAAAGAAACCTGTCTTTTCCTCCACTTCCAAGCCCCACTTGCCCTACAAAAAATAAAGCAAAACACAAGTTATATCTTTGTGCTATCAAGGAATGAAAAATACTGCAGCAGTATTCTGAAGTCTTTCAAGGTTTGAGAAAGAGTATAACATGTTCTCAAGTGTATACTCTACCAGCAAACTCCATTTCATGATCATTCCCTCTTTAACCCAATACTTCTCAATCCCAGATACATATTAAAATCAACTGTGAAGCTTTTGAAACATCCAGATGCCCAAAACCTACTTCATGTCTTCTGAATCAAAAGTGCCATGTGGGCTGCTATATTTTCTATAGGCTCCATTACAAATTTTGATGTGTAACTCCAACTTACCCTCACTTCCTCCTCTGTACAAATAAAGCCAAAACCTCTTAGCAACATAGTCAAAATACACCCCAAAAATTTTTCTTAAGTATTTTTTCTTGCTATTTCCTCAGCTCAGCCAAATGACCTTTTATCCTCCCTTGCTTGTAAACCCATCACAATGCTTCTCATTCTTTAAAGATCAGTTCAAATGTTACTTTGTGGAATAATTATTTTTTCTTCCTATAGACAGCCACAGAATCTCTAATAGTTATGCAATTTGCCTAAAGATATAATTACTTTTTATATATCTTCCCACTATATAATAAGCTATCTCTAGGTACACAAATATTGTCTTAGTCTTTATTCCCTAAGCACCAAGGAATCAGTAAATGCTTTTGTAAAATAAATTAATAAGTCACACTGCTTATTATATGAGATAGTTCAAGCCTGGAGGGAGATCTCCAATACGACCCTGTTTAGTATTATATGAGGTAGAGGTGGGCTGAACTTGCCCTGCTTGGAGAAAAGAGAATGTCATTTGGCCTTGGCCCACTGAACCACTCAGCAGGGTCTTCTGCATCATGCTTAAATTACCCTTTAGAAAATAGGGATAATAACAGCACTCACTTCATAGAGTTGTTATGAGGTTTATGTGTAAAACATAATGTAAAAACACTAAAAACAATGCTGACATAGTAAGTCTATGTAAGCACTTGTTAAATCATAAAACATTTTTGTGAGAATGACTGAACAATAAGGTATGGCACATTTTTCAATTCTTAGCTCCTCAGTGAGGATGTAATCCCTAGTGAACTTTTGTAAAATTAGATTTCACCCAGTCTACATCACCCACTAACCAAACTTGCTGAAATGTCTTGAAGCATAAGGGTTTCCTGTTCATACTGGCTTCCCAAGGTTACGTGGAAAAAACAAACATTATGTCTTTAGGAATACAACAAATGCAGCTGGTTTTTGTCAACCTATCCTTTACCTCTGGGGTCCCCAGCCCCCAGGCCACAGACAAGTACAGGTACATGGCCTGTTAAGAACTGGGCTGCACAGCAAGCAGGAAGTGAGCAGTGGGCAAGCATTACCACCTGAGCTCCACCTTCTGTCAGATCAGCAGCAGCATTAGATTCTCATAGGAGTGCAAACTCTATTGTGAACTGCCCATGTGAAGGATCTAAGTTGCCCACTCCTTGTGAGAATCTAATGCCTGATGATCTGAAGTCGAACAGTTTCACCCCAAAACCATTCCCCGCACCCCCACCATCCGTGGAAAAATTGTTTTCCACGAAACCAGTCCATGGTGCCAAAAAGGTTGGGGACTGTGGCCTTACCTCACAAAAAATTCATCTGGTAGAGAATCCATGCTGCACAAGGTTTCTTTACAAAAATCTTATTCCACTGCTTGCCAACTGACTTTAAATACTGCCCTTTAATGCTGTAAGGAAAATAATATTTTTATGAAGATAGGAAAGTTACACTCTTTCTCCCCACTATGAAAACAGAACGTGATCATTTGAAGAAAATCTGAAACTGCTCTAAAAGAAGAAAATGAATCATAGTTTCGCCACCCAAACATAATCACTACTCATCCTTTAATATGCTTATTTTTTACCAAGCATAGGTATATTTTACCAATTTGTAATCATATTAAATAAAAGATGTTCTACCCCACATTTTTCACCACTGAATGTTATATCAAAAGAATCTTTCATGTTATTTTATCCTCCTAGTAAACATTCTTAATGGCTATACAACAGCTGGTTGATTGGGATTTCCTTGGCCATTTCCTTATAGTTGGTCATTTAATTTCCCATTTTTTTCTATTATAAATAGTTCCATGATAAACTCAATTATCCATACAGCTTTTTCCACATTTGTGATTATTTCTTTACAATACATTCTCAAAAGTAAAATTAATAGATCAAAAGACACAAATATTTCATTGTTCAATGGCTTCCCAAAAGGTTTATACTAATTTATTTCCCATGAGGTATATATGAGTTCCTGCTTAATACAATCTTGACAGCACTGTTTTGTTTTCTTTTAGTCTACAAATAACATGTAGCTACTTTTTCCCCAAATCATGATTCTACATCTCCATAAAATAGAAGACACAGGATGTAAAGAACACTTGCACAATCTGTGGTTCAAATATCAATGGATGTTGTGGATACTTCCTGAAAGAAAAATAACACTGAGGCAACACAAATGAAAACAAAGAGACTAGAGTATCATAAGTATATATATTTATTTACATAGCTATTTATTCCAAGAACAACTCTTCTAAAACAGGTCCCATTTAATCTTCTTACTGAAAGTTCAAGCCTCTAGACTCCAGTGCTTTGTGCTAGGCTGGCTTCCTTTTCTGATCCTACCCTAAGCCCGGAAAGTGTTAAATTATATATAAAACTATTGTTATATGCTCTGGGGCAAAAGAAGAAATAGAAAAGAAAGTGGCAGCAACTGCATAAATAAAATGGACGTAGGCTGCCTTGCTGCCAAGCACAAGACTGGATGAAGTTTCTCATTTGTTGTCTCTGAACTGCTTATTTATCCAGTAATTGGGTAGCCATTTCTGTAACAGCATATTTAATACAATTCCATAAATTAGATTGGTACAGCCTTTCTAGCTAGGCCCATTACTAAAAGGTAATTCAGCATAGGGTAATTCCCAAATCAATAAAATATATTCCACAAGATCAACTGTAAGTCACTTATTAAGAATTCAGATTGTGTTTACTCAAAGAAACATTGTTTTAATGATATCCTGCCCCTCCCCCACCAAAAAAAGCAATTTACCACAGACAGGAAGAAGTAAATGCAGAACCTGAACCCATCTAAAACACCCTGAGGTCTGTGTATCTTTTCAGTAAGCTTAGATCAAGGGAGGGGACAACTCAGGCCTGGTATAAGGACTAAAAGAAGTCCTGTGGAAATCATCTGTAAAACAAGTATTCCTAATTATGATACCACATACCAATATTCTACATCTGACTCACACCAACTCTAAGTAACACAGAAAGTATTAAGAGACAAGAATAATTCTGCAACAATTTGCTACTGATATCTTAAAACACAAAATTACACATATATACACAGAGAGAGAGATTTCCTTCTAAATTTCATTTAAAAGAGCTTTCTTCTAATATCTCTTAATTTCTTGCTCATCCCCAACAAAAACACTTCATTGCTGTATTACATCTTGCCTACACAGAATGAATACAGTTTTCCTAGATAATTGTTATTCTATAGTTTTACTCATTTCAAAAATTCAGTAAGCCAAGTCATATTTTAATTTGTATTCTCTGTTCAAATACTGATGAAAGATACAAACTACAGCTAATAACGAAGCAGAGAGGTTGAATAAACCTTGTCATTCACACTAGATCAGATCTGCTTCATCTCTTTAATAAAGCTGTATAGAAAAAGACATAACTGAGGATTTTAGAACTGTGATCAAACTACTTTTATGGTTTCTATAATTCTCTGTGTTATTTTAATAAAAAGTAACAACAGTTAAGGCATTATTTCATACCTAGAGAATACAAATGTACGCCTTTTCCAGATAACAATCCCCTCATTTCCAGAATTTATCAAAGCTCAGACTTGGAGTCCTCCCCCTCTGCTAAGCTCTTCTTTGGCCAGTAGCTGTTTGCATAGATCACAGCAAGGATGAAAAGAAGGGAGGAAAATCCTCTGGTGATGAGATAAGAGAGGACAGAAGGCCTCTGCTAAGCTGTTCAGTGTTCAGCTTGAAAAAGAAATGGGTGGAAAATTAATCAACAAATCAAAAAGATACTTGGATCCCGAATTAACAGAGTTAAGAAAGGCTAGGGCTTTTTCAGCTTGCTCAAAATACAACCTGAGATGAATCTCTGTGATGAAAGGTTTTCCAGGAGAAAGAATCATCAATCTCATCATTTCCCAGGAGCTAAACAGGTATGTGTGGCAAACACTACCAGCAATAGCAACAGCAGTAGCACTTTACAGCCTCTGTTGCGAGAAAGGCGAAGTGCCTAGCAACCAAAAGGAAGCAGTCAGCCTGAAATGTCACCACTGAGCTGCTAAAATAACCCAAAGGTTTTTACCATTCTAGAAGAGGAAACCTTTTAAGAAAGCGTTAACATGAAGGAAAAAAAAGAAAGGTAAATCTAGTTTCCCCTAGCGTATTCATTTCAATAGACTTTCCCTGTCGGCAGTAAACTAAATTTACTCTGACTTCCTGGGATTAAGAGACTGCTCTTCTCCAGAAATCTATTTAGGTCCTTGTTGGTTGATCTGAGGGCAAGCTAAAGTTCAATGTCAATTTACAGCACACCTTTATCCACTAACCAAGATGATCTTATCTGTAGGCTGTGTTTTACTGGTTGAAAAATAAGGTAATACCATCCATATCTTAATAAACAGTGACATGCCTTCCTTACTGTTCCTTCTACCTGAACTCTCAGTTCCTACTTTCCCTCTTACTTACTGAAATTTTAACAATTTTTTTTAGTTGTAAAGGTATTTTGTTTCCATTTTTAAAGCTGTGTTTATTCACGTCAAAGCAGGCACAGCTCTTATGCATAATTTTTTAATAATCCACTTAAACATTTAACTTGTGTTACTATCACCTTCCTAAACTGTATATAGGCACATTTTTATAAAAATCCACTCAAATGTTCATCTTGACTAAAATGTTACCAAAATACCAAGGGTTCAGTCTAGATCCTACTGCTGGCCGCCTGGAAAGATAATCACTGAAACAAGTTTTGCCTAGGAAGAAGGCTTTAATTGGGTGCTACAGCTGGGGAGATGAAGCTCAATCTCAAATCTATCTCCCTGACTGACTAAAACTAGGGGTTTATATAGCAGGGAAGAAATGTAATAATGTGCAAAAAAATAATAACTAGGGAGGGGCAAAGAGGCATCTGGTGAAGTGATCTGGTAATTTTCAGTTCTTGGATACTTTTTTTTGAGAGGCCTAAAGGTCGTTTCCTGAGGAAGAAACTCAAATAAATACAAGTTTCAAGCTTTAACACCAGAAGGGTCAATCTCTATGTTTATCCAAAAACAACTATCTATGGCACTACTGGGTTGATTTCAAAAATACCTGGCCAAGATAGAGACTCTAATATGCCAACAAGTTTACATTTCAAAGTGTGGGTGGATGTCCCGTGAATTTCCCTCCCTTGTCAACTCTAGCACTTACAGATTATACAATGCCAGGAGGAAAAAGTGAGTATCGGTGTGGAAAACAATAAAAATAAAGCTCATACTTTTCTCCACGCTACTAACTTAAAACAAAGTAATATATTTTGTCTTTTTCAGGAAAGGAATACAGTTTTTAAGAACTTTTCCTATGCCCAGTATATCAGGCTCTCTCAATTTTGGAACTACTGACATTCCAGCCTGGATAACCCTGTTACGGGAAGTTTTCCTATGCATTTTTAAGATGTTTCACAGCATCCCTAGCCTCCATCCACCAGATGCCAGAGGCAGCTCCCCACCAACACACACCCACACCCACACATCCACACACCTCAGCCCCATTGTGGCAATCAACGATATCTCCAGATATTGCCAAGTATCCCTTGGGGCATAAAATTACTCTCCATTGAGAAACATTCAGCTAAATGAATGAGTTAAGATTAACAAGCTTAATTAAGTGGACCTAGAGATTGTTCTGGGGAAGAAAAATAAGACCATCCTGATATTATACAACATGTACAGACACAAACAAACTTACGTCTACAAGAAAGCAAAATGACATAAAGTATGCAGATATCCATTAATGTCAAAATTATTTGAGTTTCTTCGTTAGATAAGGAAGCTGAAGCACAGAGAAAGTTTATTAATTTCACATAAAATCACACAGCTAGCTAGTGAGTGTCAAAGCAGAGTGTGTGTCAAAGCATACCCTTACAGAGTGATTACAGTGCTCTTAAACTACTGTAAGGGTATTCCTTATCTAAAACATAGGGATCCATAGGAGGTACAACAGTACCTCCTTCATAGGGTTGTAAAGATTAAATGCTTAAAAGACAGAATAGTACCTGGCACGTAGTAAGCACTATATAAGTGTTCCTATCATCACCATTTTCATAATCATAATCATCATCATTTAACTGTTTAGGTTTGCAGCAAAATTAATTAACTTTTCTTCTAATTCCCTACTGTGAAGGAGAAATGCTATTGTTTGGAAAGGAATGTTAATGAGATTTAAGAAGTGGGATAAAAAATTATTTTTCAAATACATCACATGACACAAAAGACAACATAATGTGTGCACACTGTTCAGCACCTTGCATTTTTCATACCAGCACATATACATCTACTTTAGTCTTTAAACTGCATGATATACCAATGTATGCATGTATCATTTTACCAGACCTTTGATTAAAAACTTCAGCTGTCTCTAGGTTTGACTTTAAAAAAAAAAAATGCTATTACAAACAATGCTGTAATACCACCACCTTGAACATGCAACTTGGTTAAAATTTTGATAGCTATTTTGAAAAGCTGGATTTCCTAACTCAACATTGAATTAAATGTACTCCAGAAGATCATGGGTCTGTTAACAAGCAGACTCTGACACTGCTAGTTATCATTTCTGCTAAATTTTACCAAAAGAATTCCAAAAAACTCCTCAAAGTTGACACATCAAGATGCTATGGTCACTTCAACCCTTAAAAACACTGAAGAAAACACTTTCAAAGAACATGGCAGGACATTTTGTGATAGGAGTTCCTTGGAATCAGAATTTTAACTATTGTTGATCTGAGTACATCTGCTAGATTAGCAGCAATAACTAGCCATTCTTTGTGGCTTTTGAAATGACTGTCTTAGTCATTGGGGCTGCTATAGTAAAGTACTATAGAAACAACAGAAATTTATTTCTCACAGTTCCGGAGGCTAGAAGTCTGAGATCAATGTGTCAGCAAAGTTGGTTCTGATAAGGGTGCTCTTCTGGGCTGCAGACTTCTAACTTCTGGTTGTATCCTCACATGGTAGAAAGAGGGTGAGAGAGCTCTCTGGCCTTTTACAATCCTGCTCATGAAGGCTCCACCTTCATGACCTAATTTATCTCCCAAAGGCCCAACCTCCTAATACTATCACATTGGGGGTTAGGATTTCAACACTGAATGAGGGGGGACACAAACATTCGGTCCACTGTGCAGTTGTTCTGTGGTTACAGCACTATGAAAGTCTTTATTTCTCGTATGTTAGTGAGCTCTGTGTAGACAAAAATGGCTGAGGCCATTAGGTTAGACTCAAAGAATAACAAGTTAACAAGTTGCACCATTATTTTGTATTAGCAATAATTAGTATGAACAAAATATACTGATTACTTGGTTTTATAATTTACTGTTAATTTCTCCATTTTTTAATTTGTTTAACTTCCTGGTAAAGCTACAAAATAAATACACCTAGACACCAGTAGCTAAAATATTATTTGCTCCCAAAGAACATACAGTTTGCTTATTCAAACTCCAGAACTTATGGATGATGGTGGAAAAATCTTTGCAAAAGTTATCAGAAACTGGAAGATATTTTCTATCCCAAAAGATCACTGTTTATGTTAGCTCTTGCCACTTTGCAAAGATCACTGTTAGCAATATATCTGCTTAAACCAGGAAATAAGTGCCTTATAATGTATACTCATCACCCCTTGTTACAAATCTGCCAACATGGGAAACATCCTTTCCTAAAGCAAAATTAACATCTTGTCTTAAGCAGGTTTTAAATTCTGTTCAGATCTATTCAATTAGTTACTTTTGGACTTACACAGGTAAACCTATAGTATACATATTAATTTGTTTTGAATAGTTGGAATGTGCCTACAATGAATATGCACAAGTTAGGATTTACCTGAAAAACTATCCAGATACTAAACAAGCCATCAGTTTCAAACATTTACAGATAGCACTGCTAAAACCACACTCTTCAGAAACGTAGCTAGAAACCACTGGAAGAAGCATATGCTACCCCTAAGCACATACTCCAAAGGTGGAATATTTTCAGCAATTTAAAAATATTATGTTGTCATTATAGTTGTTAGATAATGAGAAAAGAAGGGAGAATCCTGAGACATAACGCACGCAGAGATGGTAATCAAATAGGGAATGGGAATACTTCTTTCATGTACTTGCCTCTACCACCACCAATGAAAGCTTGCCCTATCCACCTCCAGCTTGCTCCACCCCATGTAAGAAAATTGGCAGCTCACTGTTATCTCAGAAAAGCATACATTTGTAAGAAGCGTGTAGGTAAGAAGGCAGAGCGAGCTTTTGGTTATAAAGAGTTTCTTTTCATATAGTATTAACTGAGTGTATTACCTTGGGTTGCATTGAAAATAAGCTTAATTTTCATCAGCTCCTATGTGCCACGCTCTAAGCTATGCACCTTGAATAAACATCTGATCTTTACACAACTATGGAAGATAAACATTATTGTAATAAGTTTTAAAAATTAAGAAACTGAGGCTTATAGAGTCTCATAGCTAATAAATCCGTAAGAGCAGAAATTCATGCCCAAATTTTACCAACTGCAATTCTATTTTCTTCCATGTCCCATTACTTCTAGTAACATATTTAATTTTATATAAGCTTAGTGTATAATTATGAGCTGGACTAGATAATATGCACATATGCATACTCAGAAATGAAACTATTTACACATTCTTAGTAATACTATAAAAGTTATTAATCATGCCAGCCTAATATTTCATAGTCACTAGTCACACTAGTTTTTGCTAAGAGTTTTTCTATTCAACAAAACAATTCAGATACTATACATGGTACTGAAATAAACAATGAAATGGACAATAGTTCACACCTGGCTAAATGATCTCTCAAAGTTAAAGATTTTTAAAAATGAAATCTCCAAACTTTTTTGATCACATAGCCCTAAAACAGTAAAAGATCTGAGAATATGCTGAAAATATAAGAATATCAATTCACTTATAAATTATATGCAGGCATAATTATTATAACATAAAAAAAGAATAAGATAAAAGCAAGTAAAAAACGTTTTAATATTTGTTCCCACACCTCAATGGACAGTTTCACATATCCCCTGAGGTGTGCATACTGTACTCTGGACACTACTGTCTTCGAAAACAGCTTCACATTTTAATTCAGGAAATAGATATCCACTCATTTCATAAGCCTGATAGTATTTATTTTCTGAAAGACCAGAAATTTAAAAGTGAGATAAGCAAAGACCCATGCTCTGCACCTATCTTGAAGATAGGTCTTCAAGAAATAGTAATTACCAGGATTACTGTTCCTTAACTTAAAAGTATATCATTTTCATCTTTACTTACACTCTACTTATACTTAACACTGGATTCAGAAACAATGGATAGTACTTGCATTAAAAAAAAAAGGCAAGGCAACATTCTTATTCTGGGATAGATGTGATTAGATTTGAGATGTGGTATAAGATATGAAAATGGGGGAATATATACTCAAAATATTCAAACCTTGTACTCTTAACCTAAAGTTGAATGCTGTGAAATGTATAAAAAGAAAAAGCAGAAACTGTTTGAAAAGTGAAAGTTAACTTCATGGTTGGGCAAATCATTTAGAGTTTAGCTGAACTGTAATACTTGATACTTGTGAAAGAAAACAGGAAAAATAATTGTAAAAGGAGAATTAATTTTTTTTAGATTTTCTGGCTTTGTGACAAAGGTAACATTTCTGAAAAATATGAGTTGACACTAATCATACACTTAGTTTCCTGACTCTGCATAAGGGGTAGAATCAGATTAATATTAGCATTTGAATTATTTTAGCTATATTGGGCACATGGTTATCTAAATGACCCCATGCCTAGACCTGTGCCAATTTTCTACTGCAGGATTTCTGATTTCATGCTTTAGAAACTGGGCCAGTGAAACTTTTGTTCTACCAGCCGTTTATGTCTACTGAATAATCCCTCAGTTTTAGATTTGGCTTCATGTCCCCACTAGAATATAAGCCCCATGAAGTTAGGAAAACTTTGTTTTCATTCCTTGGTGCCTAGAATAGCACCTGGCACACGTTAAGCACTCAATATTGCTTTAAAAAATGAACTCACCCACCCTTCTGCACACCTCAAGGCCTCTGAAGGCAGATGTAAAGAGGGAGCCCGTGTGTAGATTGTAACAGCCTTCTTGGCCAACCTAAAATTCTCCTTTAGAAGTCAAGAGGCAGCTCATATGCTACAAGTAAAGCTGGTACCTGTAGGCAACCATGGCGTCAAGACAGAACCTGTGTCTTCTTGCAGTTAACTTCTGTCTCCTTTGCCAGTTCCTCCACACTTCTCCAACCTCTAAATACTTAAATATCAGGGAGTTCAGTCCTAAAAAGTCTTTTCTATCCATACTTGGTCCTATATCATTTAGTCTCAAGGCTTTCAATTTCTATCTCCAACCCTGACCGCTCCTTTAACTACCAGTAATTTGATAGCCTACTCAATCTCTCCTGGATGTCTAACATCACAACATAACCTAAATAGAAATCCAGGTATCTGCCCCTCTCCACGAAAAGGCTGAAGCACAGCCACCCAGTCAAATCAGGCCTGGAGCAGACAAACTGCAGTCAACCACAAATCTGTGGGCAAGAAATAAACGCTCATGGTCTCAACCACTGTGTTTTGAGGTGATTTGTTATTTGGCATACATCAATTAGTACTCCATCCTATCTAAAATTGTAACACCTTATCCTGACTTTGATACTTCCTATTCCTCCTCCCTTTTTTCACTCCCTAATACTTACCGCTATCATTCATGTAATTTTACTTATATGCCTTATTGTCTATATCCTCCATTATAAGAAAACAACTTGGGCAGAAATTTTTGTCTATTTGATTCATTGCTGTATTCCCAGAACCTAGAAATGGACCTAGCATCAAGTGTTCATTAAATATACAGGAGATGAATGAATGAACAATTAGCCCTGTGTTCACACCCCGGTATAATTCCCATATTACAAAACTTAGTATTCTGCAAACTCTGCAGTTCTGTCAAAGCTATAATTCAAGTCTTCATTCAGTCTAATTCATCTACTATTACTTAAACCCTGGTTACTAGAGATTATATATTCAGGATAGAAGACAATATGTTCTTTCTAGATTTTTCCAGAAGAAATAAAGGAGCTAGACAGCCCTAAATTTGAGTTACAAGATGCCGAGCAAGTGTTATTTACTTCCATCAGGTGTATTTCTGAAACTATAAATTACGGAAAATATCTATGCAAAATCTAAAGTACAGACAAGTAATAAAACTTTACAGGTGGGTGTGGTGGCTCATGTCTGTAATCCCAGCACTTTGGAAGGCTGAGGCAGGATTGCTTGAGGCCAGCAGATTGAGTCCAGCCTAGGCAACATAGCAAGACCCTGTCTCTAAAAAAAATTTAAAAATTAGGCAGGTGTGGTGGTGCATGCCTGTAGTCCCAGCTACTCAGAGGCTAAAGTGGGAGGATTACTTGAGCCCAGGAGCTAGAGGCTGCAATAAGCTATTAATCATGCCACTGCACTCCAGTCTGGGCAACCAAGTGAGATGCTGTCTCCCCTACAAAACAACAACAACAACAACAACAAAATCACAAAGAGAAATTTTATGCTAATCTTTGAAGAATGAAGGAAGTGGATACTTAATATTTTACCCTAAAAAATACCATGTGTTTCCACAGTATTCTATTTCTCTTAACAGTACTTATTCTGGTTTGTCTATTTCACCAACAAAATCTAATCTCTTTGAAAAAGAACTGGCATTCAATAAACATTTGATGAATAAATGACTATTAGCATTTAAAAATGTATTTACCTGACTGGTTAAAACTATTATACATTTTTTAAGTGAAATGGAGATGTTTACTTTAGCTACTGTCTTTTTAAAAGTTTTTGGTCTATTAGCCTTTACTTTCTGCTGTGAAGAAAAAAACACAAAACAAAACCAAAATATAAAATACATGGCATAAAATAAATGATTTTTATTTAAAAATATACTAAGGAATGCAGCCATAAAAAAGAACGAGATCATGTCCTTTTCAGGAACATGCGTGGATCTGAAGGCCATTATCCTTAGCAAATTAATGCAAGAAAATCAAATACCGCATATTCTTACTCATAAATGGGAGCAAAACGGAAAGAACACATAGACACATACAGGGGAACAACACACATTGGGCACTATCGGAGGGCAGAGGGTGGGAGGAGGAAGAGGATTAGGAAAAATAACTAACAGGTACTAGGCTTAAAACCTGGGTGATGAAGTCATCTGTACAACAAACTCCCATGACACAAGTTTACCTATGTAACAAACCTGCACATGTACCCCAAACTTGAAAGTTATATATATATGGGGGGGGAGCAGGGAGGGAGGGGGGAGGGGAGGGGGGAGAGAGAGAGAGAGAGATGTCCTAAGACTTCAACTTTTAAAAACCTAGGTGTACTAAGACTTCAACTTTTAAAAACCTAGAAAAACAACAAAGTAAATAAAAGATGAATGTATACGGATGAAATTAATAAAGACAACAGTGGTGATTCTGAAATCAAAGAAAAATGAGAATTAATAAAATGAAAGTTGGTTCTTGAAAAGCTGAATAAAATGGACAAACCCTTGGAAAGCCCAACTAAGAAAAAAATATAGATAACATTAGAATGAAAATGGAAATTTAAAACTACTAAGAGATTAAGAGAATTACTGGAATGCTGAATGCAACTTTTTATCGGTAAATTTTTAATATAGAGAAGCAATTATTATGCTAAAAAGCTCTATATCTACAATTAAGGAAAGGCAGAATAAATGATCAGATCCGTAACTATACTAGAAATTCAAGCTCAGGCATGTTAGCTCATGCCTATAATCCCAGGACTTTAGGAAGCTGAGGCGAGCGGATCACTCGAGACCAGGAGTTCGAGACCAGCGTGCGCAACATGGTGAAACCCCATCTCTACAAAAAATAGAAAAATTATCCTGGCATAGCGGGGCATGCCTGTGTTCCCAGGGAGGATGAGGTGGGAAGATAAGCCCGGGGAGGTCAAGGCTGCAATGAGCCGTGATCATGCCACTGCACTCCAGCCTGGGCAACAGAGTGAAACCATATTAAAAAAAAAAAAAAAAAAAGAAAGAAATTCAAATATTTGCTAAATTTCTACCATCTACCACTAAATAAGCTATCAAGCTTAATGATTTTACAAGACAGCTGTGTACAGCCTACAAGGATCAGATAATTTCTATGATTCTTATTATCCCATAGCATAAAAAAAGATGAAACACTTCCAATTTCTTTTTCAATGGTAACATATAATTCAAATTTGATGTGAGAATAAAGAAAAATATTACTGAAAATGCTCACTTATGAACAGGTATATAATAAAATCCTGAATAAAATACCAGCAAATCAAAACCTGAAGCAAAGAAAAACATAGGATTGTTACTACTGTCTACGTGACCTTGGGCAAATTACTTCCCCTTCCTATCTTAGTTTTTTCATCTCTAGAATGGAAATCATAATAGTTCCTACAGCATGGGGTTGTTATAAAGATTAGATAGGTAAGTAGAAAGTCCTTAGGACAGTGCTTGGCACATGGCAAATGCTCAATAAGTGTAAACTATTATTATCCCAAGAACAAAAAGGCAACATAATCCACTGTGTTATAATTTTAAAGTGAAAAATAAAATATATAAATGTGAAAACTGGATAATTTTTGGCAGACATTTTTTAGAATGAAACAGATATAAAAGCCAATCTCTTAAACATGATGAATATCAAAAGCCAATAGCACAAATTATACTGTGTTAAAACACTGTTCATTCTCATTAAATTATGTAAAAAAGCTGTTCAAAGTTAACATGATTTTCCATATTTTGGAGCTTACACTAATGCAATAATGTAAGACAACAAATACTGGAAGGGGTGAGGTAATTATTTGCAGATGATATATAGGCAGAAAGTCTAAGTAAACCAATCTCTATTAGAATAAACGTAATGATAAATAAACATAATAAGAATGGAACAAGACAGTATGACAAACTATATAAAATCTCACTGAACATAAAATATAACCTGAATACTTTTTTTTTTTTTTTTTTTTGAGACAGGGTCTCCCTCCTGTTGCCCACATTGCCCAGGCTGGAGTGCAGTGGGGCAAACATGGCTTACTGCAGCCTTGACTTCCCAGGTTCAGGTGTTCCTCCCATGACAGCCTCCTGAGTAGCTGGGACTACAGGCATGCACCACCCACACCCATCTAATTTTCTGTATTTTTAGTAGAGGTGGGGTTTCACCATATTGCCCAAGCTGGTCTTGAACTCCTGGGTTCAAGAGATCCTCCTGCCTCAGCCTCCCAAAGTGCTGGAATAAAAGGCATGAGCCACTACGCCTGGCACACCCTTAATACTTTCTATTAACTAACTCAGCAGTATCTGTATCTTCTCATTCATCCAACCTAAAAACTTAGTATCTGCTAGACTCATCCCTCTCTTCATGCCTCACATCCACTATCAGTCACCAAATCCTACCTATTTTACTTCATATATACTTCTCGAATTTGTCACCTATTTTGTATCTCCACCTCAATTATCCTGGTTATCCTTTAGAAGGTTCCAGAAAATTAGTGTCCCTCTTTCCAGTCTTATCCTCCCCAAAATCATAGTTCATTCAGCTACCAGAGTAATCAATCTAAAAACAAACCTGACTAGACCAGGTGCCAGTTTAAAACCAGAGATTGCCACGGACTTCAAGATGGAGTCCAAGTTTAAGGCTAATAAGGCCTTTGGTCATTGGGACCCAGACTCATCTCTTTTTTTTTTTTTTTTTTTGACAGGGTCTCACTCTGCCACCCAGGCTACAGTGCAGTGGCACAATCACACTCACTGCAGCCTCAAGTGATCCCCCCAACTCAGCCTCCAGAGTAGCTAGGACTACAAGTGAGCACACCCATGCCCGGCTAATTTTTTCATTTTTTGTAGAGATGGCGTTTCACTATGTTGCCTAGGCTGGCTCCAACTCCTGGGTTCAAGGTCCTCCTGCCTTAGTCTCCCAAAAAACTGGAAATTAAAAGCGTGAGCCACTGCTCCTGGCCTCCTGCTCCTTTTCTTCCCTTTTTGAGGCCTAAAAGTATGGATTGGTGTTTCTCAAATTAGGATATGCAAGTATCTCTGATTAAAAATGTCAAGACTTATCACAGCTAGAAACGATCCCTCTTACTAAACTTACAACATCAATTTTGGTGAAGATTTTTTGAGAAAGACATTTGATATTAATTACAGAAGAGAATACAAAATTTGTATGACTGCTTAAGTCAAAATCCAACAAAGATGGCACTGATAGCACGCAGCTTTGCGCATTACCCTGGGCCTCTGAATGGGGACGATGCTGACACATCATCACAGATGAAAAGTCCAACACTATCAAACTCTGATCACTTCATTTGCCAATGAGGCACTGACTGTAACACTGAGAACTTAATTATGCCAGATGACAGCTGACACTTTACATTAATTCATTTTTTAACCATCTCCAAGACCGTATAGGACCTCATCTCTACTCCTCTCCTCCTCGTTCTTTCTACACTAGCCACATGGCATCCTTGTTTCTGGCATACAGTATCCCACTTTAGGGTCTTTCTTTGCCATTTCCTCTATCTAAAAACCTTTTCCCATAGAATATGGCTCCCTTTCTCAACTCCTTGAAGCATTTCCCCAAATGTTGCTTTCTTAATGAGGTCACCTTCCCATTTCCCTTATCAATTACCAACATTATTCTAGAGTAATAACGTCTATTTTTCTCTTTATATCATTTTCCTTACTTATTTATTGTGTTTATTATTTGGTTCCCTACCAAAATGTAAGTTGCATGCCAGTAGTATTTTTGTTTTTTTCACTGAGTCTATTGTGTCTAGAAAAGTGCTTAGCACATTGTAGATTCTCAATGAACTACTTATTGAATGAACAGTCCTATGAACCAGGTATCTCCCTTGGCCAGATTTTACCTAATGAAGATTCTGCAGCAGTGAGAACTTGCCTAGAGTCACATCGTCAAAGGTGGAGCTAGAATCTGTAAGCAACCTGGCTCTCTACTCTTTACCACTGCTGCATGTTACTGCATGGTGCCTCTCATTTATGTGGTGAATTTCAAAAGTACTATTTTGTATGTTTCCCTTACTAGACAGTTCCCTCGCAGCAGGGGATACTACTTCATCTCTGTTCCCTGACTGGCAGTTTCTAACCCATGTTACACGCTCTATAATTGTTTACGGAATGAATGAAAGCATAAATGAACACACAAGCTACCCAAAGATTTTTACATGAATGTCCCAACTGGTTAAATCATTTTTATCTTTCAGATTTAAACTTTTATAAAAAACAAAACCAAAACACCAAACCTGTCTTCAAAAATCTAGTAATTCAAAAAAATTCTTTTGAAGTGAAAAAACATGATTTCTGATAAACGATTTAATTAAATGGAAATGTACCCTATTCTTACAATTTCTACATCCTGGTTTTTAAAGCTTTATTCGACGTTAGGAAATATTAAGCAAAAAGCTCCAAAACCAGTAACTGACTCGCTTCATTACATACACATGCAATAATATTAAGCTATCTCCGATTTAAAAAACGCAAATAATAGTGCCATTTTCGTAGACATCGAGAATTATAAAACAATCAATCATGCCAGAGAGAAACAGACACCTTCACTTACAAAAACTGACGCTAACGAGTAACACCCTCCGGAGCAATACCTGGCCCAGGGTCAGCAGGAGGTAGTCTTCTCGAATAAATGTGACAAATACTTTGGTCAGGGCATGACTAATTTGCCACATAATGCCAATAGGTTGACTCTGAGAAACTACCATCCCCGGGCAGAAGGGGCGGGTGTAGGAGAGATTTAAAAACGAGGCCCCTCCCAGGCCGCCTCAAAATCTAGGGCCCAAGATTCTTCTCCTCAGAGCTCCTCACCGTGTCTAGACTAGGGGCAAGCGACCATTTCTCAGGTAGAGGATGACGCACAAACGAAAAACTGGCCATCCAACATGAAGGACGAGGAAGCGCACGAAATCAGAGCGCACAGCTGAGTGAGGAATCCCCCTTCTCCTAACCGATTCCTCTCCCGAGAAATCGCGAGATTTCTCGCCTTCACGGGATCTCAGGCCGAAACCTCGCGGCCTCTCAGACGAGGGTGGGTTAGCGGGGGCAGCTCCCAACCCCCGTCCTGGACCCACAAATCACCTCGACCCCTGGCCCACCCCGGCCGTCACCGAGAACGGTCCCCTAGGGTGCCTAGGGACTTCCGGAGCCCGACCGGATCCGGAAGCTTCTGAGAGCGAGGGGGTGGGGCCGAAAATCAAAAAAAGCGCGGCGAAAGCTAAAGGCCGGCGCACGCTGGGCGGTGGTGGTCCCTAAGCCGGGCCGCGGCCGGTGCAATGGACTCCACTGCCTGCTTGAAGTCCTTGCTCCTGACTGTCAGTCAGTACAAAGCCGTGAAGTCAGAGGCGAACGCCACTCAGCTTTTGCGGCACTTGGAGGTGAGAGGCTCTGGGGTAGAGGACAGATGGGGCTTCCCCTAGCAATTCTTATTTCACAGTGAGGCCGAGGAGTGGCGGCCCCAGCCTGGGAAAGAAAGGACAGTCCTTCGATCCCTCTGTTGTCTTTTCGTACTGGTAAAGGCTAGTGAGTGTCGGGGTTCCGCTGGCCGCAGCGAGAGGCAAGAGCGCTCACTGAAGGCTCTAGGAAAAGCGGGAGTGGGGCAAAAGGTTGGGAAGTTCAGGTTGTTTCGAGTAGGTAACGGAAAAAGCTCGGAACTTTATCTTTTCCTTTGCTTCTAGTTTTGGTTTTTCTACGAAACCAAGCCCTCAATACACAACTATTCTCAGTGACGGAAAGTCATGATTAAAACTTGGTTTTGCCCTTCGGTAATCTATAATTGAATTTGTTGCTTACTGCTCTTACTTGAACTCGGGTTGAACTCAAACTTGAAAAACATTATTTCAACATTAAGAAGCACTTCCCCTTCCTAGTAAGCGTAATCCTTTTTCTTTACCAAAATACATTGCTTACAGTTTTTTAATCTTAGAATGCTGAATTGCCTTTTTTTCTATTCTAGTGATATGTGTCCAGACGATTCCGTTTGTTTTAGGATCTTAATCTTCTGCTTTCATTTGTTTTGCATTTACGGAATTCAAACTAACATTGACCTCAGTTTAATTTTTTTAAAGCTCAATTAAGGCTTATTTTAACTCTCTGTGTCACAGCTTTCCTCTGTTAAGGTAGAATTGAACATAATTTTAAAATATATTGTATTATATTAACCCTATGATAAAAGACTAATGTGCCAAAAATTTGTAAAATATTACAGGAAAAAAATGATTTCCAGTAGTAGAGCAACAGCAGCTGTTAGTGAAGCTGCTGTTGTATTAAATGTGTCTGTCTTATCTTGAGCTTCACTGGTGCTCCTCTTTTCCCTACTTCAAGTGCCCATCTCCTAAGTACATTTGTTTTCTCTTTTTCATTCTTTATTTTAAGAAGTGCCTGCAAACCTAATAATTAAGGTGTTAGCTGTTAAATGCTTAAGGCTTTGCTTCTGAATTAGCATAGGCTCCAGAAGCCGCAGAATAAGCAGGGCAGTCCGTTTAATTTAAAAATCGGGAGTTAAGCATTTTGTATGCTATTCTGAAGCATTACCTTTCTTTGAATAAACAGGAAGGTTGTGCACTGAAAGAGATTTAAGGCACAGGGGCTTACACCTGTAATCCCAGCACTTTGGGAGGCCGAGGCGAGCGGATCACCTGAGGTCGGGAGTTTGAGACCAGCCTGACCAACATGCGAAACCCCGTCTCTACTAAAAATACAAAAATTACCTGGGCGTGGCGTCTCTCTGTTGTCCCAGCTACTCGGGAGGCTGAGGCTGGAGAATCGCTTGAACTCGGGAGGCTGAGGTTGCATAAGTAGAGATCGCTCCACTGCACTCCAACATGGGTGACAGAGTGAGACTCCGTCTCAAAAACAAAACAAAAAAAAAGAGAGACTTAAACAAAATATGGGATGGGGTCTTTACTGTATTCCTAAACTTTCAAGGGGTTTACATAAAACTCTTCTACCGTTGTTGCAAAGGTATGAAGAGCACTGGCTTCAGGTTACTACTAAAAAGGACTTTTTGTAATTAAGAGATAAAATACATACAGAGCATAAAGTGCATTAATCTTAAGTGAAGAGTTTGATAGTTTTTAATATATAGGTACCATAGCTACCATATTGGTAGCTAACATATAGGTAGAGTAGCTACCACCTGTATCATGATACAGAACATTTCTAGCCCCATAGGGTTTCTTCATTGCCTCTTCACATAAGGTTTGGGTAAGTAGACTCATACAATATGTACTCTTGTGTCTGGCCTTTTCCACTCAATAAAATCTGTGAAATTCATGTTGCACATGTACCGCTACTTCATTTTTTTTATTATTGATGTGTAGAATTCTATTGTATAAGTGTACCACAGTTTACATACACTTTCCTGTTGATAGGCATTTGGGTTGTTTACATTTCTGGGTGGAATTAAGAATAAAGCTGTTGTAGACATACATTTTTTGTGGATATATGCACACATTTATATACTTAGGAGTAGAATTGTTAGAGCATTGGAACATATGCCTATATGTTCCGTTTTAGTTGAAACTGCCAAACAATTTTCTGAAATATGCCATTTTATCTTCCCACTAGCAATATGTGAAATTTACCATCACTTATCCACACCAACCCTTGATGTTTTCATATTTCTTAATTTTAACCATTTTGGTTGACAGTATTTGTATTTTTAATGGTGAATGTCTTTGTACAGACTTCATGAGAGCGAGATCTGAGTATGCAAAGAGAGATGGGTATCATGTGAAAGGAGATTATTCATTCTTCTGTACTTCTCCCACACTTTTATAGCCCCATGCAGAGTGTAGGCTTTGAATGTTTGATGACTGGCAAAGCTGAGCTAATCTGATTTTTAATGATGATGTTTCATAACACTAATTTTGTGTAGTGATTAAAAGCATGAATTCAGGAACCAAGCTGCCTAGATATGAATTCCAGTTGTGCTTCTTTACTATCAGTGTGTACCTCAGTTTACTCATCTGCAAAACAAAATAGTGGTACCTACCTTATAGAGTTATTATGAAGATGAAAAGAGTTCACATATGTAAAGTGCCTAGATCGATGCCTAGGCCAGAGTAAGTGCTGTATAAGTATTAGTTATTATTAAAATAAATTATCTTTGTTTTAAGAGATTCAGTATAAGTAAAGGGAAAACTTGTAAAGCAATTTTTATTTTACCTAGTGCATATAATTATTACATGTTAGACAATTTATGTTAATGAGATACAGGACCAATCCTATAGAGAATCATTTTTAAAACAGCAAGTGTCTTATTCTGGAGAGCTAGATTTATAAATAAGCAACAGGGTAATGCCCACAGTATTTCCTACCCCAGAATATCTGTTACTGGCATCTGCACTTTCATATTTGGACTTATTTTTTCTTGTATAGACTTTTACTTTAGTAATGTTAAAACACTCCTTGGGAACAGATAATGTGAAACTCTTATCAGCAAAGCCTTAGAAGAAAAACTGATGTGGGTGAGAGAATAAAGGGAGGATACAGAAAGGAAAGATTAGAGGGATGCTAAAGCAGCCTGCTTAGGCTTGATCTTATTAAAATAAGTATTCAGGACAGAGTTAGTCTTATTCTAAGGTAACTAATGGTTTTGCCATCTTTGTAGAAAAGATATGCTTTGTAATAAATACATCCATAAAGTATGTTGAAAATTCATGCTTTGAGACAACTGCTTTTGGCCTTTAGTTCCAGCTTTACCTCCTCTCTTCTCTCTTTCACTCTGTGTGTGTGTGTGTGTATGTATGTGTCTGTGCATGCGTGTATGTGGCTTATAGATTACAAGAAAGTAAAAAAAACAATGGAATAATCAGAAATAAAATTTTTCAATGCCTTGCCTGGCTACTTAAAAAAAGATTCACTTTTCACTTCCTTCTTTAATCCCTTAACTTCTGAGCTCACCTATTGTCTTTGGGAAGAAGCAGAAGGAATAATCCCATAACTACCCTCTGGGCTTCATTTTTCATTCTCCTCCCTCAAAGTAAGTAGAATGTATTAGAATTTATTTGCATAGTAAATATATTGGTACTAGAGTGCAGATTTGTAGGCTATGCCTTCATCGCATGTTCAATGTAGTGTGAAGGAGAAATATTGCTAGGAACTCAAAAGTTTGCTAACTTAGGAAATAGAAATATAATGTACTATAGGATAGCATAATAGGCCGACCGAACTGAGATGGTATAAGAAACTAAGAAAAGCTTCCTGGTGGAAATTATTTTAAACTGAGATCCAAATGATTACTTTAGCTAGGGAGGGAGGGATTAGGTAATTGATGGGTACTCTAGGCAGGGGTGAATTTTTCACAGCATGTGTGAATTTTTTAAATTGGGAAGGTAGCAGTGGCACTTTGAGGGAACTGAGTTTTTTATTTGAAATGGAGAAGAGATGAAAATTGCCATCGCTTAACCAACACATTTTGATTACTATTTTATAGGTAATTTCTGGACAGAAACTCACACGACTATTTACATCAAATCAGATATTAACAAGTGAATGCTTGAGTTGCCTTGTAGAGCTACTTGAAGACCCCAACATAAGTGCTTCACTGATCTTAAGTATTATCGGTTTGCTGTCTCAACTAGGTAATGCATTTAATTTCTCCTTTTTAGTTTTTGGAAGATGTATGAACAATATTTTAAAGTGCAGGCTTAGTTATAGAATCTCTTAAAGAATGATTCACCTTCAAAGACTTCTCAGTCTAGTGTGCATTGTGAATCTTTTGACACTGAGGAAGTCATAGCTACCGATCAAAGAATGATCCTTCTGTAATAGATTACACTGAATTTAGAACTAAAGGGTAAAAGTACTGATGTTGCTTTTTCTATCTTTTCCCCCATTTCTTTAGTTCTTAAATGTTCATTTAGTGGTCACTACTCCAATTTGGGGCAGGGCGGTGGGGATATTTCTTTGTGTGATTATAATAGTAATATATGCATAGTTTAAAAAATTCTAGTGATCCAGAAGTATTAACACAGAGCAGCATTGTCCAATAAAACTTTCTTCAGTGACAGAATGGTTTTAAAACTGTGTTATCCAATGTAGCAGCCACTAGCCACATGGAGCTATTAAGCATTCGAAGTGTGGGTAATAGACTAAGGAACTGAATCTTTAATTTTAATTAATCTAAATTGAAATAGCCACATGAAGGCTAGTGGCTACCAAATTAGACAGCCCAGACATAGAGTAAAATGGGGTGAGCCTGTACCCATTACCACCAGCCCTCATCTTTTCAGCTTTGAGGGTATAATCTCATTTAATGGTTTGGTATGTTTCTTTGCAGATATTTTTCTGTGCTGTAACAAAACAATACTTTTGGATCTTTAATTGGTTGTTTTCAGCACAAATGGTGTTGTGGAGCACCAGATGTTTCTTTCCATATCAGTATCTTTAATAGCTGCCTAGTGCCTTAATTACAGGGTACTGTAATTTATTCAACTATTCCCCTAATAGTGGACAGTCAACTGTCTTTAAGTTTTTGCTATTGGAATCAATAGTGCAGTGAACATTCTATGTAATTTTGCTCAAATATTAGTGTGTTTCTATTAGATAAATTCCATTAGAATTTCTAGATCATTCTAAAATTTGATAACCGTTACTAAATTGCTTTCTGAAAAGATTCTTCCACTTCTAACATCCACCAACAGTTTGAATGAATATGCCAGTCACTTCCAGTGTTTATACTTTAGAAGCATTTGAGGTTTCCAGAAAAATTGAAATGATAATCTTTTTAAATTAATTTTTTCACAGATACATAATATTTATACAAACTTATGGGGTACATATGATATTTTGTTACCTGCATAAAGTATGTGATGATCAATTGAGGGTATTTAGGATATCCATCACAAATGAGGATTTATCATTTCTATGTATTTAGAACATTTCAAGTCATATTTTGAAATATACAATACATTGTTAACTATAGTCACCTTACTCTACTATCAAACATTAGAACTTATTCCATCTGATTGTGTGTTTATATCCATTAATCAATCTGTCTTCATCTCCCCCACTAACGGCTCCCCCTCACACCTCCCATCACCACACACTCACCCATATTCTTCCCAGCCTCTGGTAACTGTCATTCTCCACTTCCATGAGATCAACTTTTTTAGCTCCTACACATGAATGAATACATGCAATATTTTTCTTTCTGTGTCTGGCTTATTTCACTTAACCTAATGGCCTTCAGTTCCATCCGTGTTGCTGCAAATGGCATGCATTCTTTTATATGGCCAAATAGTATTCCATTGTGTAAATATACCATAAAGTGATAATCTTTTAATATTCAAAGTAAATGATTTTAATTTGATACTAAAATAATTAGTATCAAAGAAAAAGCTTGCTACAAATGTGTAAACAAGTTTTTTCTTTGATACTAGTTTATTTTACATAGAGAAATCATTTGAATTTCTGAATTGGAGGGTTATCATAAAGAAAATAAGAAAATAGCCATATCATACCTTTTTTAATAATAAATTCATATGAAATAAATTCTGTATGAATTATCTGCAAAACCTTGTAAGAAAATGATATATTTTGTGCTTTTATTTTAACTTATAGCAGTAGACATTGAAACCAGAGATTGTCTTCAGAATACATATAATCTGAATAGTGTGCTGGCGGGAGTGGTTTGTCGGAGCAGCCACACTGATTCGGTGTTTTTGCAGGTATACAGACCCACACAGTGTATTCCCCTTTCCTTACTGTCAGATCAAAATTGATAGTTTCTGTCATAAACTGCTGACTTACAGTGTATATATGCTATATAATAAATACTACATGATTAGGCACAGTTCATCTCATTAAAAGCTGGTTGCACACATACAATTTAAATGTTTCTAGAGAAGAGAAGCTTATCCATTTCTATCACCACTATTGAAGAAAAACAAATCTACATTATAACTGCTTTGACTTATAAACACAGATGTCTGTGTTTTGAGACATAAGCTATTTATATTAAAATTGTAACGTGAGTTGGCATCTAGTCTCAATCTGTGGAGGAAACGTTCTACAAAAATTAAAGCTGTAGATAGAGTCTATTTAATATAGATTCAAAGCTCTTCATATTTCATTGACTCTAAAATGTCATCAATTGTAAGAAAGAAAAACATCACAAATTAAATTGACATGCAGTTTTAGAGGTGATAAAATGTGAAGAAGGGTATCTTCTAATTGATGGACTACATGTGTGTTTCAAACTGCATTCAAGTTTAAGATGACTAAGTGAACAAGGTTGATAACCATGCTCTGAGACAGAATACGTAGAAATGTGTGAATTGAGAGAAGAGCCCTAAGGTTCTTACATTACTTTACATGTGTTTTTTAAAAAAATTGTTTTAGGAAATGGAAAAGGACATGCTCAGAATGTGCCTGAGAGTCCATTATTTTAAGCAGGCAATGTTTTTATATCTTTATATTTATAACTATTTTCTTATTCTCAGTGCATTCAACTTCTACAGAAGTTAACATATAATGTCAAAATTTTCTATTCTGGTGCCAATATAGATGAATTAATTACGTTCCTGATAGATCACATGTGAGTATGCAATCAAACATAAAACCAAATAGTTTATTTGTTTATTTTTAAATTACAACCATGTGGTAGATTAATTTTTCTTAGATAACATTTTCTAACATATAAACTGAGTGAGACTCCGATTCTTATTTGTTCTGCCCAGATGATTTTAAGGATCAAAAGTTGTAAAAGTATGTGACCTCATTCATTGGTGAAAAAATGTAAAAAGGAAAAAAAAATTGTAAAGCAACTTTAATTTTCATAAGAAAAATTTATGGACTGAATTGATTTGGCCAGAAAAAAATTACTGAAATTGAAAATTGTGTAGTTATTCTTGTAGGAAAATATACTGATGAAACAGCACATGGTCCACGCTGACAGTTACTTCCATGTTTTCATGATGGAATTGAATAGGGTAATTTGGTTTTAAAATGAGATAAATGATCAATACTATTCAAAGCTTCCCTGGCTTCTTATGTTAATTAGTTTTTTTTTTTGCGTGTAAAAGGGAATTGAAATGTATAAACTTAACTATATCATTTTGACTTAGAATAATGTTAATGCTTTTTTTCTTTTACTATTTTTTCTTTAAACAAAACACCAATGTAAAACAACAGTCAATCTTCTGAAGATGAGTTAAAAATGCCTTGTCTAGGATTATTGGCAAATCTTTGTCGGCACAATCTTTCTGTTCAAACGCACATAAAGACATTGGTAAGAAGTTTATTTCTTTTTAATGTTTCTTGTTTTATGGTAGATTCTCTGCTTAAAGAAAATTGTATTTATCTTTTTCTTTAAAACAAATTTGAACAAGGATTCTGTGTCTTATCGGATGACCCATCAAAATTAAGAGTCAGATTGACATACAAATAACTTGAAGCACTTCAGCCTTCGTGTATGTTGTATTGAAGACTGTGTGTTAAGGGTTAATGCAAACACTTATTTCTAAAAGTTTTCCTCAGCATGGCATCCCATTATTTATTACATTGAGTAGTACAAGAATTACTAAATTATTTTGTGCTCTTAGAAGGGAGGCACATCACTGGCAGTCCCATTTATCTCAGTCTTGTGTTTCCACAAAATCAATGGCAACCCCACCAGAAAGATTCATGAGTTAAGTGCTCAGTATGAACCAACAGTACTTGTGATAAATGAAGACACACAAATGAATTTAACTGAATCACTTTTAGAAGTATATTAAATCAGCTGGGCATGGTGGCTCACACCTGTAATCCCAGCACTTTGGAGGCCAAGGCAGGCAGATCACAAGGTCAGGAGATGGAGACCATCTCGGCCAACATGGTGAACCCTGTCTCTACCAAAATACAAAAAATTAGCCAGGCGTGGTGGCACACGCCTGTAGTCCCAGCTACTTGGGAAGCTGAGGCAGGGGAATTGCTTGAACCCGGGAGGTGGAGGTTGGAGTGAGCTGAGATCGCGCCACTGCCCTCCAGCCTGGCAACAGAGTAAGACTCCATCCTTAAAAAAAAAAACAAAGTATATTAAATCAAGCAAGTCACTGATTCTTTAAGGTGCTTGGTGAACAATTTCCCTGCTGTGCTATTCAGCATTACCCGTTCGATTTTAAATTTAATATCTCACTTGTTCAAGTGCTACATTTTTCTGCCCTGGTCTTACTTTGGAGGTGGAGTAACTGTGTGTGTGTGTGTGTGTGTGTGTGTGTGTGTGTGTTTCAATTTCTGAATTGAAAAAAAAGTTCATATGTTCATATTTAGGAAACACTTAAATATAAGGAAGAATAAACATTTGCTCATAGTTTCATGTGTAGAAACTGCTCTTCACCAAGATTGTGGCTATCTATATGACTGTCAGCAATATACGAAACTACCCATCTTGCTCACACATGCAGTGATCTCTTAAATCTAAATGCTAATCAGCAAATATGGCAAAGTTAATTGCTGCTCCACGGTGTGTAACGTAAAACAAATTCTTAAATTTGCTGAATTTTTTTTGCTTCCACCACAATTATGAGAGTTCCTCATTACAGTTCTTTTGTTAACACAAATGCTAACAAATGCTACAGTTCTTTTGTTAACACAAATCCTGCAGTATTTAAGGTAGCTCTTTTGTTTCCACTCTGCATGTGTCCCTTTATTAGAATTGACACCCTGATTTACCATCATTGAATTATTTATTCTAAGGTGACAAAACTTTGGAAATATTTATCTCCAACTCGTTTGCACGCATTTACCAAATTATTTTTTTCTGTAGGTACTCTCTTTATAACAATTTTTGAATTTAAATTTATCTCTGATCTAAATTTCTCCTGTAGAACATTTATCTTTTAAATGCAACAATCATTTAATAGAGTTGATAATGATGTTTAATAAAAGTTTGCCCACTCTGTGCAAGATATACTTTTTAAACCAAAACATAAAATTTATAATTCTAATTTATTTTTTAACTTTTTTTTCCTCAGAGTAATGTGAAATCTTTTTATCGAACTCTTATCACCTTGTTGGCCCATAGTAGTTTAACTGTGGTTGTGTTTGCACTTTCAATATTATCCAGTTTGACATTAAATGAAGAGGTGGGGGAAAAGGTAAATACAATTTTTCAAATTTATTCTGAAGTTTATAGTCTGATATTTTAAAAGTCATTGAGACTTTTTTATTTTTACCTTTTAGGATGGTGTCAACTTAATTTTTTGTCTAATATGCTTTTTCTAATTTGTCCTTAAGCTATTCCATGCTCGAAACATTCATCAGACTTTTCAACTAATATTTAATATTCTCATAAACGGTGATGGCACTCTAACTAGAAAGTATTCAGTTGACCTACTGATGGATCTCCTTAAGAATCCTAAAATTGCTGATTATCTCACCAGGTATGACTCACTTCAGTCAATTTTAGAACTTTTTTATTTTTAAACCAAGATGTGTTGGTTATAAACAGAATTGTCTTCTTAAAATATAATAAACTTGGATTCTACTGATTCACAGTAGACTAAAATGTTTTGATGTGCTTTACTCACACTCTTTTTTCTTTCCTGAACTGAAATGGAAAGTATAACAGGTCATTGTCTATGTGTGTATTTCAGTCTTTGCTTTAGATCAATAGGGTTGTGCCATTCTCCAAAATATAGACATCTTGGCTAATTTATTTTAAAACCAGTTTTAAAACGTAAGTAGCATTACGATTATTTGAAAGAGTATTTTTATTATAGGAACAATAAAAATAAATATTTCTACATAAATTATAAATAAATGAAACAGTGTTGAAACATTGATGTCATTATGTTTGTGTCTTTATTTTTTGTATAAAAATGGATAATGTTTCCTTTGGTGTGTGCCTCTTTTCATAGGTAAAATAGGAACATATGTCCTTTCTATCTCAGTGTATTTCATATGATCATTTATGTTTTGAGATCAGGTAGTAATTGTTTTCCAACAAGCTTGTGGCCTTTGTGCATTCTAACTTAAATTTTGCTGGGGCCTATGCTGCTTTGTCATCCTAAATTAGGAAATAATTGAAATTGTTTCAAAGAGTTTCACACACAAGAAAACATTTACTGAACCCCACCTATGATCAGGCACTTAGCAGCAATAGGATTTGAAGACACAGTCCCTGATGTTTAAGAAACATAGAATCTATAAGTTTTATTTTAATGAAAGCTAAGCACTAGGGCAAACTTGACCATTGTTCATATGGCTCAGCTGATACTTTGCAAAACCAAGAAGTATTCACTTTAGCATTTCACTTTTTCTTCTCTTAAGAATCTCTAGATAGGTGAGCTTTTTCTTCCAGAGTGCCTTCCCATGACCTGCCTTCTCTTCATCTGTTGTGAGATTCTCCCAATATCCATGTATATCTATTCTACCCACCAGATAGTGCTTATTCAGCATCTTCATAGTAAACAGAAAAATTCCTTTGAATAAACCTCGTCTGGAAGACTAAAAGATAATCCAGTTTAGCATTAATAAGAGGTAGCTTAATCATTTATTCTGTAAATCTCTCAGTTCTATTATCTATTTTATACTCTATCGTAGAATCCCAGAATCACCTCTGGCAATTCCTCTTGTTTTTCTGGTATGCCATTGAACAATAACCCAATCCTGAATCTCTTCCAAAGTCTAACTTAACTGCATGGTTACTAATTACAGCTTTAGAAAATCACACAACTTTACCTGGGCCAGACCTCTTATATTTACTTGTCAGCTTTCTCATTTCCTACAGTGGATCTTTCATATTTATTTATTTATTTATTTAGAGACAGAGTCTCGCTCTATTGCCCAGGCTGGAGTGCAGTGGTGTGATCCTGGCTCACTGCAACCTCCGCCTCCTGGGTTCAAGTGATTCTCATGCCTCAGCCTCCCAAGTAGCTGGGATTACAGGCACACGTCACCACGCCCAGCTAATTTTTGTATTTTTAGTAGAAAACGGGTTTCACCGTGTTGGCCAGGCTGGTCTTGAACTCCTGACCTCAAGCGATCCACCCGCTTCAGCCTCCCAAAGTGCTGGGATTACAGGCATGAGCTGCTGGCCTGGCCGGTCTTTGAAATTTTTTGTTTTTCTCTTGCTACCTTTTATGCAGAAGATGACCTTATCTTTGTTTCACAGAAAATAAATATCTAAATGGAGCCCCATTTGATTGGAGCTCCCTGAAATCCTTGCCCCTGGACAAACGTACCTATGTTTATACCAAATTCTTACTTAGTTTCATCCAGTTTCACTCATAAATATGTACCATTACTCTATGTATTGCCTCATTTTGTCTTTTCTGAAGCAGTTGCTCCTCTCTCTTCGGGGCCTCCTATTCAGTTGACCCTTCCCCTTTAACTTACAAATATGCTCAAAACTTTTTCTTCAACCAGATATCCCTTTTAAAATCTTTGACCTACCATTGCATTCAAGGTGAATATCCAGATTCTCAGTATAGCCCTTCAAAATCTGATCCCTAACAACCTCTCAACCTTATTTCTTCACACATTTTGTTTTTTTGTCTAATATCAGACAATAAATAGAACTTCCAGCTCACTAGAAATGCCCTTTTATGTATCCATGTGCTATTTCCTCTAGAGTGTTCCCTCTGGAAGACTAGAATACTTTCTCTCTTATATGCCTAACTTCTATTTTTGTTTTTAAGACTCGAGTCTGGGTTTAATACTGAGACAATATTCTTTGTTCCATAGTGTCTCCTACATTCCTCCATTATAGCATTGTATTTTATATTACCTTGTATTATCTCTTTCTGTCATCTTCAGACTGTGAACTCCCTGTCAGGGCACCATCTCCCAAATCTAGGATACATCAGTCACATAGAATATAATGCTAGGGGTCCCACAGTACCTCTTGGAGTTGTGTAACGCGGGTTGCTGCCCCTTACTTCTTTATTTGCAGAGACAAATTTAATGCCTGGTAATTTTAGGTGCTTTATAAGTAAGCAGCTGTATAATGTATTAGGATATTCTTCTGTCCTTTGAATTTTTACAAAGTGAACACAATCTTAAAAAAATAGAGCAATTGAGACACTGAAAATTTTAATAGTGATGTGTATTCGTGGATAAAGAAATTTAATGATTTATTTATTGCCACATGAATCACTATGTTTTAATAAATGACACAGCCAATTTATGTATATCATAATTGTAAGACATATGTTTTAAGTATAAACTTTACAGGAGTGTGTTCTATATTAGAAGCCCAAATAAATAGATGAAAGAAAATACACATAAATTTTATATTTATCTTGTAGATAAATCCCTTTTGATGTATCAATTTTATATTTATCATTTGATGTATATTTTTATTCTAAACCTAGATATGAGCACTTTTCTTCATGTCTTCACCAAGTATTAGGTCTTCTTAATGGAAAGGATCCTGATTCCTCTTCAAAGGTATGTAAAAACATGACTTTTCATTTAAACTTTTAAAAACTGCAAAATGCCGAAACTTTTAAAAAACTGCAAAATACAGAAAAATCCAAATGCACAGATTTCTGTATTTTTATAATAGGGACACAATTATGTAGCCAGTGTCTAGATCAGGATGTAGAATGTTACCAGTATTCTAGAACTCTTCTTGTGCTCCCTTTTAGTCAGTACCTACCCCTTCCTATTCCTTACCTTTACCAAGGATGACTGCTTGGTAAACTGCTATAACCACTATACTGACTTCTAACAGCATACATATATATGTACACATATATATACACATATATGTATATATACGTATATGTATGTATATATACGTATATGTATATATGTATATATACTCATACACATGTATATGAGTATATATACGTGTATATACACATGTATATGAGTATATATACACGTATATACACATGTATATGAGTATATATACACGTATATATACACATGTATATGAGTATATATACACGTATATATACACATGTATATGAGTATATATACACGTATATATACACATGTATATGAGTATATATACACGTATATATACTCATGTATATGAGTATATATACACGTATATATACACATGTATATGAGTATATATACACGTATATATACACATGTATATGAGTATATATACACGTATATATACACATGTATATGAGTATATATACACGTATATATACACATGTATATGAGTATATATACGTGTATATATGTATGTGTATATATACATATATACATATGTGTGCATATATGTGTATATATACTCACATGTATACATGTATATGTATATATGTATGTGTATGTATACATGTATATGTATACATACACATGTGAACATATATACACGCATACATGTATATGTGTATGTATATATACACATGTGTGTATATGTATATATACACGTGTGTGTACATGCACGTGTGTGTACGTACACGTGTGTGTACGTACACGTGTGTGTGTATATACACATGTACATATATATTTTGGAACTTTGTATAAATAAAAGCATATAATACGTTTTCTATCTAGACTTTCTTTGGTTCAACATAATGTGATGAGATTCACTCATATTTCATATAGTTGTAGATTGTTAGATTGATTCTTTTTTTGGACAAGGGAGTATGATTTATTGGTGAGCATGAATAAGGGGACATTACAGTGAACACCCTCACGAATGTAGTGCTCACCACTTGTCCGGGGGCCACATTTGTGGATGTTTTTGACCTCACAACCATCTGGGATGAGCCACTTCTCAGCCGCCATGTCTTCACATTTATCCACATTAAATTTGGTAAAGCCCCACTTTGAGATGTGGGTCTTTGGGCAGCCAGGGACCTTGAACTTGGCGCTGCATGGGGCCTTAGTTGCATGCTCCTTATTTTGCAGATTTGTGTGGATGGACATGATGACTTGGCCACTGTGAACCCTGGTCACGGTGCCCTGGGGGCTTTCCAAAGACACCTTGCATAATAGCTCTCAGAAGCCTAGATGGGGGACAGCAGGAGGTCAGAGACATGAATGTACATTGGAAAGGGCTGTCTCTCAGGTTTCTTAGGCCAACCCATACAAGCAACAGGCCATGTATACTACCAAGGAGGCAGCTGTTTGCAGCCATTGCACACTGGGCCCCAGGAGGAAAGGAGCACAATTGGTGTTCTTTTGTTTATGAACATCAGCTATTATAAAGAAACCTGCATTTACCATTTTCTGCATGTCTTTTGGTGAGCTTATGGACAGCTTGTTTTAGCTTTATATCTAGGAGTGGAATCACTGTGTCATAGGATATACGTAAGTTCAGTAGTCACTATGAAACAGTTTTCAAAAAAAGTCAGTTGGACCAGTTTATGAATATTTGGTCAGTCTGCATTCTTGCCAGCAGTTGATATTTTTCACTTTTTCATTTTAGCAATTCTAATGTCTATACAGTAGTATTGCATTATAATTTAAATTAATATTTTATTAATTAATAAAAATATCATTTTACATATTCATTGGCCATTTGTATGTTCTTTGACGTGTCTGTTTATGTCTCTTGCTCATTTGTTTAATGCGTTGTCTTTCTCTTATAAGTAGGAGGAGTTATTCTGGAGTCTTTTGATGGGTATATAACATGCAAATATTTTCTTCCATTCTGTGAGTTGCCTTTTTACTCACCTAATGGTGCCTTGATTTTAACATAGATCAATTTAGTGTTTATTGTGTTCCATTTGGGAACTCTTGGCCTATTACAAAGTCACAAAGATGGACTCCATTGTTTTTTTCTAAAAGCTTCCTAGTTTTTTTTAACTTTCACATATAGATCTGTAATCTTCCTACAAGTGACTTTTGTGTCTGTTGTGAAGTACGACTTTTCCAGGTCAGCCTTTACCTTACAAGTTTTTACAGAAGAAAAAAATTAGAATGACTTTGAACTAATCATTTGCAACAATGATCTAAAAGATGGTAGAAAGGTTGAAACAGTACAAAGTTTGTTACTTAACAATATTTTCTTTTTTATTTCGAACCCTAGAATTTCTAAATTCCTTTCTCATGTGCAATATGAGAACTATTTCTAATTAGTATCTAAATGGATCTTAAGAAAGTGACTAGGAATCTGTAATATAAGTGCTAAATAAGGATTCTTGGAATAGAAACACACAGCAAGGGAAAAATCTAGTATTCGAATCTAAAGGTATTAAACTGTCTCAGGGAATTTAGGAGGTCAGGTAGCACAGGGGAGTAGAAGCATTCTATGGGTATCAAAACCTGAAAGAGAATGGAAAAGTAAAAAAATAAAAATAAATAAAAATTTAAAACTTAATTTTTTAAAGTAAAAAATAATTCGCGTTATGATAGAAGTGGGGAGAAGTGAAAGCAAAATACATCTTGGTGGGGAAGATATAGTTGAGTGTCTTTTTTTAAATATGTAATAGCGTATAGTGTCTTTGATTATAAGGCCAGTATAACCTTGATAGCAAAACCTGACAAGGATACTACAACAAATGAAAATTATAGCTCAATATCTTTCATGAACATACTGCAAAAATTCTAAAAACAGTAGCAAATCAAAATCAGTGACACATAAAAAGGATCATGTCTTATTACCAAATGAGGTTTATTCCAGGAATGCAAAGATGGTTTAACATTTAGAAATTAATATAATTTCCCACATTAACAAAAAAGCAGAAAAATTACATTATCTCATTAAAGGTGGAATAGCATTTGATAAAATTTAATACCTATTCAAGATAAAGATTAGCACACTAGGAATAAACAGTAACTTCCTTTCCCTGATAGAGTAATTACCAAAAATCTACTGCATTATCTTTTTAAATGGCAAATTATTGAAAGCTTTCCTCAAGATTAGGAATAAGAAAAGAATGTTCATTATCACCAGTGATGTTCAGCTTAGTATTGGTGGTCCCAACCAACCTAATAAGGCAAGATAAATTAAAAAGATATAGAGATTGGAAAGGAAGAAATAAAACTCACTATTCAGATGACGTGAGAGTATAGAAAATCTAAAATCTATTATTAAAATTAAGTGAATCTATTTAACAAGTTGGCTGGATACAAGATCAGTAAATATATATTTTATTTATATTCTCGTGACAAATAGAACATGAAGTTTTTAAATGATGCTATTAACTGATTTTTTTAAATGTCAGGTGCTTAGGGGATTAGTCTAAAGACAGTGCAGTATTTTGTCATAATGATAGACAGCCCAGTGGAACATAATGGAGCAGAAACAAACCCACAGCATATGGTCTTCAGATTGACAACAGTAGAGTCTTAAAAGTATGGTCATTTCAATAAATGACGCTGGGTCAATTGAATATACATATGGGGAAAAACTGAAATTTGACCCCCTTCCTCATACCAAATGCAAAAATCAGTATAAGACAGGTTGTAGATTTAAATGTGAAGAGTAAAAATAAGGAACGTTTTAGAAAAAACACCTAAAGAGTATCTTCATGGCCTTGGGGTAGACAATGATTTTCTTAAACAGGAAACAAAAGCACTAACTATACAGTAAGAAAGTCGATAAGTTGGGCTACATTAAAATTAAGTTTCTATTTATGAAAAGACCACTAATAAAAGAATGAAAAGTCAAAGAATGGGAATAGATATTTACAATGCATATATCTAACAAAGGACTCTTATCCAAAATATATTATTTTTCTACATTGTATGTATATATCCGAAAAAACACAGAGCCGAACAGATACTTGAGCAAAAAAGTTGAATTGGTCAATAAACATGAAGTGATTTACCACTTTATCAATCTTAAGGGAAATGCAGATTTAAATGGTAGTATCATACCATCTGACACCCACCAGTTGATTAAAATGAAAAATAAGGAAAATAGCAAACATACTTTAACTCTCATTTAGTACTTACAGAACAACCAATTATGAAAACTGGTATCTATTAATACTGGGCATATGTATAAACTACGACCCAGAAATCTCACTTATAGGTATTTATCCCAAAGAATTGTTTACATGTGTACAAAATGTAGTACTGCTCCTAATAGCTAACAATGATAACCCAAATGCCATTAACAGTGGAATATGTTCATTTTGGGAAAGTCATCTAGCTCTGCACTAGTAATTAGTTTTTTTACTTTTATATGTGTACATTAAAAGAAAACTAATGTACATGGAAAGCTATCTGCTTCTATGTTTATAACGGACATATGGTAAGATACACAAACAATTGGTAACATTGCTTGCCTACAGGGTTTGTCTTTTGAACCATGTGAATGTATTACCTATTCAAAAATAAATATAGTCATGCATTACATAATGACATTTTAGTCAATGACAGACACAGACTTCTTATTGCCTATGACATTATGGCCATTCTAACATGGTGGTGCAATGCATCACATGTGTTTGTGGTGATGCTGGTGTAAACAAACCTACTGAGCTGCCAGCTGTATAAAACTATAACACATATTAAGATTGTATACAGTACATAGTATTTTGATAAACGTGTTACCACTTATTCTTTGTTATTTTAGAGTGTACTTCTACTTATAAAAAAGTTAACTGTAAAACAGCCAGGCAGGTCTTTCAGGAGGTATTCCAGAAGAAGGTATTGTTGTTATTAGAGATGACAGCTCCCTGTGTGTTACTGCCCCTGAAGACCTTCCAGTGGGACAACATGTGGAGGTGGAAGTGGTGTTGATTACCCTGGCCCTGTGTAGACCTGGGCTAATGTCTGTGTTTGTGTCTTTGTTTTTAACAAAAAAAGTTTAAAAAGAAAAAGCCTACATTTTAAAAATAGAAAAAACTGATAGACTACAGATGTAAATAAAGTATTTTTGTATAGCTGTACAGTGTGTTTCTCTTACTACAAAAGAGTCAAAAACTTTAAAAATGGATAGGTTTATAAAGTTAAAAAGTTCTGCTAAGCTAAGGTTAATTTATTAGAGAAATTTTAAAAAATAGTGTAGCTTAAGCATACAGTCTTTATGAAATATACAGCAATATACAGTAATGTCCTAGGCCTTTACATTCACTCACTACTCAGTCATTAACTCACCCAGAGCAACTTCCAGTCCTGCATGTTTTGTTTATGGTAAGTGTCCTATACAGGTGTACCGTTTTTGATCTTTTATACTGTATTTTTCTATGTTTAGATACACAAGTACTTACAATTGTGTTATAGTTGCCTACAGTATTTAGTACAGTAATATTCTGTACAGTTTTGTAGCCCACGGGCAATAAAGGGACGTAGTAGGCTCTACCATCTAGGTTTGTGTAAGTACACTCTTACGATGTTCACACAACGGAATTAATGATGCATTAAGCAACATATGCATCACTAAGTGACACATGACTGTACTACAGTTTATTAAAGATTATCATTTGTTATAGTAAATGCTAATGGACTGGATTCTTTTAAATTCAGATACTATCAAGTTGATTAAAACACAAATCCCAATTATATATCATTTGTAAGAAACAGACTTTTAAAAAGTTGGAAATAGAGAGACAAGGAGATCTTAAGAAATTTTTTTTTTTTTAGTGATAAGTTGGTAGTATGTGAAATGAGGTGGAATTTATCTTAACATCTAATAAACTGGTTGATGGGGGATGTTATGGTATAAGGCCCAGTTTATAAAGTAGAGGAAAAATGGGGTACAGTAGGAGAGCTAAGGGTCATAATGCCAACCGTATGCAAACAGTGTGGAAATAACCATCCTGAAGGTTTTATATTCTATGCTACAGTATCCTTTATAGCGGTTATTGAATTTTAGGATTATAACAAGTATTACTAATTCTAATTTTATTTTTTAGGGTTTTTTTGGTCATTTATAAACAAAACAGGTTTCTGTTTAAAAATAATTTAAGTACTATGGAAGGAGTGGGAGGAGTTTAACGTTGGCTGAAGTTGACCTTCCCTCTGAGGTTCTCACAGTCCTGCTTATCAGGAGTAACCACCATTAATAAGTTTATTTTATAATCTTCTAGAACCTATTCACACATTTGAAAAATAATATTGAAAGAAAAAACTTAAGTTTTGTTTTAGAATATTTTCTTTAAAATATGTAGCATTTTCAGCTTCATCATACACTTGCTTTGTATATTAAAGTTCTGTGAAATTGATGTTTAATGAACACTTTATATTGCACAGGTTTTAGAATTACTTCTTGCCTTCTGTTCAGTGACTCAGCTGCGCCATATGCTCACTCAGATGATGTTTGAACAGTCTCCACCTGGCAGCGCCACTCTGGGAAGCCATACTAAATGTTTAGAACCTACTGTGGCTCTACTGCGCTGGTTAAGCCAACCTTTGGACGGATCAGAAAACTGTTCTGTTTTAGCATTGGAGTTGTTCAAGGAAATATTTGAGGTAATAGGATGACTGACAGATTGACTTTTCTACTTTTGTGACTCTCAGTTAACAATTTGTCTTCAAAAACATTCTTTGTAAACTTACAGTTCATACACTTGAGGAAAACATCTCAATTACTAACAGTCATACTAGACTCGCTAGGTTTTTTTCTGCCAGTCATATATATTAGTGTTTTCCTTTTTTTTCACTGAGTAGTGTGTATGTATATATATATATAGTGCTCATTTCAGTGTAATAAGTAAAGATATTAAAAAGATTTATATAATTTGTTGCCTGACTACTGGGGATAGTTACATTGTCTCTCCATTGCAATAGATGCCATCTACCAAGTTTAGTAGGCCATTGAATGGACAATAGAGGCATATTGGATTCAGTCAGTGAAATGGAGTAGAGCATGCCAGATAATGTGCTAGGCACTTAAGATACAGACAAAACTCCACATTCTGGTAGATCTTACTATCTGGGCAATTTAATATTCTCTACTATTCTCCCTGTTTATAAATCCATTCTGTCTAACCCAATATCTCCTGAAAGTATTTCCCTTCACATAACTGGGTCTTACACACAAACAAATATGTGTATGAAGTGATTAAATATGTTCATTAAGAATTATTCACAAAATTTTCTATTTTATCTTGGTCTTGATTATTTAACAATCAGTTTTAACATTTAAAAAGCCCTTTGAGGGTCTTGAGGGAAATTATTTGTGGTCATAAACTATTAAGACCAATGTCTATTATTTAATTATTGTTATTACTTTTAGCAGATTCAGGATATTTGTTTTCAGTAGATACTTTTAGTTTAGAATAATTTTTAAATCACAAAGTCTGTTTAAAAAAGTCTTATTTGTAAAACCTTACTGTCTAATTTGAGAAAAAAGCCATAGCCCTCAAAACTGGTTAGAAGTATAAATTTTAAATAAAAATTTAAATATTCACAGGAGACTTAGGTCAATGGCATATTGAAGGAAATATAAAAAATTTAAAGAGAGTGTTACAATTCAGTGATGACTTTTTCTGTATTGTATATTCCATCTTTGCTTTTAATCATTTGTGATGGATAATTCTCCAGGATGTCATAGATGCTGCTAACTGTTCCTCGGCTGATCGTTTTGTGACCCTTCTGCTGCCTACAATCCTTGATCAACTTCAGTTCACAGAACAAAATCTAGATGAGGCTTTAACAAGAAAAAAATGTGAAAGGATTGCCAAGGCCATTGAAGTTTTGTTAAATATCCTTTACTGTCATTAACGTGAAAACTGTATAACTAACCATTCTTTTTTTTCTAGTATTGCATTCACTGCATTTTGTCTTTATTTGTAATTTGTCACTTTATGCTCATATTTATCTAGAATTACTGAACTAAAATTTGAACTGTAGAAAAAATTCTCAATGAGTGAAAAAGATCCATGATTTTTTTTCCTTATTTTTCTGTGTGAAACTTTTAAGTTAAAGTACATTTTTTAAAATGCTGTTTAAGCTTGATTTTGACACTTGTATCACAATTTGACATTTGGTGGTAAATTCTAAAATGACTATTCTGTTACTCCATGTTACTGTTTTCTGCTTGATGCTAATTATTTCCCCTGGACGGACGATCAGTAGTGCCATTTTTTGGTGATGTGTATTCGTGGATAAAGAAATGCTGATAGAGTTGTCATGATTTTAGCTCAGTTGTTTTACCTTATGTTTTAAAAATAAAGCCTTCATAATTGCTTTAATAATGGTTATAAGAAAAGACAAGTATATCAACACAAATTCATTCATTTAAAAAGAAACCTTTTAGTTTCACTGCTTAACTTCTATATACTGATTTTCTAGGTCTTCCTTGTGTTTACTTTTTCATAGACCAACTAATTCTGAGTTGCTGGAAGTCCCAATTTTAAAATATTTCATTAATACTTTTTTACTATGAGCAAAGAGCCACTGTATCTCAACCAGATCTCTTAAATGTATCTAGTCAGGTTTCCTTGTATCTCAGAGCAACAAGAATATGTTCTACTCTGTCCTAGAGCAAACTCCACCCCTGTTTAATATCCTCTTCTAAGGTACTGCTCCTTAATTTTCTTCCTTTAAAGCAGTGACTTTCAACCCTGATTTCCTACCTAAAATCACCTGGAGAACATGTAAAAAAAAAAAGAAAATCGATGCCAGAACCTTACTTCAAGAGTTTCTAATTTAATTGGAGTGATGTGAAACCCTGAAATCATTAGGTGGTGTGTGTTTGCATGTTGGCTTTTTTGTTTGTGATTGTTTAAACTACCTGGTTGATTCTAACATGCAGCTAAAGTTGAGAACCACTGCAGTAGGGATACATGATTGCTTGACCTTGGAGATATTTATAATTAATAAAGTGGGGCCTTCTCATTGAATTGGACCACAACTTTTAAAATAATAGCTATTTACATTAATTTATAATATACAAATATGACAAAACAACTTACCCTTATTCAATAAATATTTATTGAACCATTGAGATTCTTGCTAACAAAAAACAGACATCCAATGGAAAGATATCCTCGCTGTTTTAACCATTGAGTCAGAAACCTTTGGTGCCAGTCCATCTCTTACCACTTGCTAGTCATTTAAATTGTGTGAGTTTCAGTTTCCTTGTTTGTCATTGAGCTAATTTAACAATAATTATACTGGATGACAGTGATGATATAATTTGTATGAAATCATCCTGAATGTTATCTTTTACACATAAAGTGAGAATTTTTTTGTTGTATATCTTAACAAAACTTAACCTCTCTGTGGAGATGATACACTAAAAATGCATATTGCAAAAATCTTGACAACTGTCAAGTGTACCACTCTTATAGAACAACAATTTACATATGGCAAGATTGACCTGGGATTTGGAACAAAGGTTGCAGATTCTGAATTATGGTGAGTATATAAACTCTAATGACAAAATGGCAAGGCAGTAAAAAATCGAAAGATGTGGTGATTCTCATCCTTTTGGAGGACCATCCTTTGGTTATAACTTAAGATATAACAGATTAACAAACATATTTTCATAATGAATTTTTTGTAAATTCATTCAATTTGTAGATTGTGTGCTTTTTGAAGAAAGGTATTAACATTTGTTGTTTTTTATTGTTTAGGTTTGTTTTGTCTTGTTTTAACTTACTATAATTATCTAAGGGTTCTGAACATTTCTGGAGCTCCTTTTTGACATTGCCTCAGTAATCAATTTTACTTTTTTAAATGAAAAGCATGAAAAAACAGAAGAGTAGTTTTATTACAAGGAAATCAGTCACTGCTAAAGGCTTTTTAATAACAGACAACTCTCCTTCCTTGGCAGGTCAGGAATTATGGTTAAAGGTGGATTTTCACTGATGGTAATAAGATATTACTTTATACCCCTTCCCTCCTCATGAATTAAGTCCATCTAATCTTTACTGAGGACCTGCTGAGTGGTAGACACTATGATTTGTTTCTGTTTCCACAGATGTCACAATTGTCAGTAATTGTGGACCTTTAGAGTAAGAATTATCTGTTTTTATATTTGTATACTACTTTCAGGTACAAAACTCAGAACATGACCTAGTGTAATTCATTCATTACGTATTAGATATTCTATATTGCCTAAGGTTACCGTCTGTTGTTGATATTCTAGTGACAAAGCTAAGAATTAAATGAACTGTGTTTCGAAACTACTACTTACTTGAAACAGAAAGTTGAAGCAGGTTGGTAGTAAAAGAAACACTGTCTAAACTAAGGCTATTAATGCCAGTTTGTTCTCTTTGGATCTTGAGTTATAAGAATGTTGATTGAGATTTTTACTTCTCAATAGAAACAGGACTTTATCATCTTGAATTTAAAAAACACAAGTGTTGGTTTTTTTCATTTTCTTTAGAATTTTGGACAGAAACAAGCTCTAAGAAATTTTTCAGTTATCTAATTTAAATGTGATTTATCTTTAAAGCAAACTTGCTGCTGATGTAATTTTGAAAACTCTTGATTTGATTAACAAACTTAAACCATTGGTTCCTGGTATGGAAGTAAGCTTCTACAAAATACTTCAGGTGAGTTTAAACTCTTCAAACATTGAAGTTTATTCATACATAAATGGTCCTAATATAAGTTTCTGTTTTAATATTCTTAATCTTTAGAAGATAATTCTCTTAGAATTGGCAATGAGAAGAAAGTTTAAAGTTGTTGTCTTAAGCAGTTATAATAGTCTCACTGCACAGTTATTTTATATACTTTCACAGGAATTGAACATAAGTGCTCATGACACTAATGTAGAGAATGTTCACAATAGTGCTGCTTCCTCAGCCTTTTCCTTTCTTGTGTTGTATTTGTATATTTCTTCATTTGTTTCTGTTGGCATTGGAGGAAGAGTGATATTTGTTTTAGGGTTTTTGTTTTTGGTTAGGGTTGATGTAGGGTATTAAGGGGATAGGGAGACAGCTGGAAGAAAAGGATTGTGATAATTAGAAGGGCTGTGCAGAAAATAGCTAACTCACAAATTTCAATGATAATAGTAGCTGAATATGATCTCTAGCTGTTATCAAAAGGCAAAGTACAACAAATTTAGTTCAAAGTTCTAACTGGCTTTTATTTATGATTCTAGAATTTGGCAGCCTCATTCTATAAAATAGAATGAATCATTCCCCTGGGCTAAGCAGAGAAGGTTGACTTTATAGACCAGAAAAGGGCTGAAGAAAGCACAAATAGGGAACTAAAAGCAGATTGGTCATTTCAAAGTTACTTTTCCTATAGAATTATAATAAAGGGGGCTTCCTTATTATACTAACTCAGGTTGACTGAAATCTCCTGGTTTTTTGGAAAACTGGCCCATTTCAAAGTGCAGTTTGATTACATGGCACTCATCCAAGTGACTCCTTTCTGGTTTGATCTGGTCTGCTAAAGCATAGTGGAGGAGACTACTCCAAAATATTAGCCTCTTAAAAACTTTGTGTAATAATATCTACAACACCTACCTTTACAACAGATGTTTAACAAAAATGAGTGAATTAAATTACTGCAGTAGCTTAACAGAGACATCTCTAGTGACTGTATAGACAGTGTAGAAGCCAAAACTGAAACCTTAGGCAGGGACCACTGGCATGTTTTGAGATTAAGGGACTGAGTTCAAATGTTGACTCTACTGGTTCTTAGTACAGGCTTGAGTAAGTTATTTCACCTCTCTCGACTTCAATTTCCTCGACTACAAACTGGAAATAATGAGGCTTACCATTGAGGGTTTTGGAGATAAAGCTCTGCTCTTATCACAGTTCTGTGACACTGGATTATACTCAAGTACCTACAAGGTACTCAATATTTTAATTATAAGGGATTTATATTTTAATATTTTCTTCACTAATATCTCAATGTATTTTTAAAGGAGTCAAACTGATGTTATGTCCATTATTTAAGATGTTTTTCATAATACAGGTTGAGCATCCCTAATTTGAAAATCTGAAATCTGAAATGCTCCAAAAAACAAAACGTTTTAAGTACCAAAATGAGGCTCAAAGGTGATACTCAAAGGAAGTGCTCACTGAAGCATTTTGGGTTTTTGGATTAGGGATGCCCAACCAGTAAGTACATGTAAATATTCTAAAATCTGAAAAAAATCAGAAATTTGAAACACTTCTGGTCCCAGACATTTTAGATATATGTTGATGACTTGGGGCTTACAATACTAATGTAAAATATTTACTGACATAAATGATTGAAGTAACTGTATTTTTTCGATCTTTAAATTTAAATGTTCTAATTTAATTTGAATTTTACTTTTTATTTTATAGCCTTAATTTGGAAGTGATTGGCCATTTTTTTCTTTTAAATGATAGCTTGGAAAAAAACATTAATTCTACACATCAGTCAGTTGTGGGTTTTTTAATCCACGAAAATATATAAGGCATAATTTTTATAGGCACATTTGAAAGCATTCAAAACCTTTGCCAGATTTTTTTAAACTGTTCATATTGATTGCATTGCAGTGTAAACAGCTATAACAAGGTATAATATATTCAAACTATATAGACTATAATATATTCAAACATTAGAAACATTTTAGAATTTGCCTAGAATTAAGATTTACATATATTTACTCACCTCCTATCTAAAAGAGCTGACATTGTTTATTCTTTCTGCTGCTTCTTTTTTGGTTTCTGATTTATTTAGGACCCACGTTTGATTACTCCTTTGGCTTTTGCTTTAACGTCAGATAATAGAGAACAAGTACAGTCTGGACTGAGAATATTATTGGAGGCTGCTCCACTGCCAGATTTTCCTGCTTTAGTGTGAGTTGTAATCATTTGCAGTGTATCTCTTGTGGTGTTGGAATACCCTGCTATGTCTCTTTAGTCCTCAGTATAGATACACAAGCAAATTAGTGAATTGAAGACTTCATTGTAATAGTAATTTTTCAAGTGATTTCTAAAAATGTTTGATTCTTATAAATGAAAAGTTCAGATGTATACTCACTCAGGGAAAAGCTAGATCCAGGCAGTTAAATGTTCTTCAGGTACTATCCCTCTATGTCTCTAGCCACTTCTTTTTAATGATAACTTCTGGACACTCTTAAGCCTACATCCTCCCAGTTTAGTTCCTCCATAGAAAGAGCTTTTCCTTCCTGACTGTTTAAGGAAAAGGTCTAAGCATTAGTCATTGACCAGGCCTGGGTTATCCATGAGAACGATGTGGACTAAAAGTTAGTTGGGATAGGAGAATAGGAGAGTTCCTAAAGAAAAAAATCTGAACTTTTATCAGAAAGTGGAAAAATGACAACCAGGCAAAATTTTCTACTATACTCGTTACTTTCAAGCAATAAGAATATTTGCAATTATGTTTGAAAAAAAATTCAGATTTCAGGGCTCTCTGAACTAAATGTCTATTAGGAGTCTGGTTTAAAATTTTTTTAAGTCATTTATATGTATGAATTTGTAAAAATGGTTTGAATAATTTGAAGTAGTTGATAAACAGGTAAGATATTCCCTGTATACCGGGATCAGCAAACTGGCCAGTGGACAGGCATCTGTTTTTGTAAATAGTTTTATTGGAATATGGCCACACCCACTCATTTTTATACTCTGTCTATGTTGCTTTCACTCTATAAAAGCAGAATTGAGTAATTGTGACAGAGACCAGATAGGTCCTTGAGTCTAAAATACTTACTATCTTGACCTATAAGAAAAAGTGCTGGTCCATGCTATATGCTATTCACTGATTTAGCGATTCCACTTTTCAGAATTAGCAATTTAGGTCATCATACCTTAAGAGTTAAAGTATGGGATGTAAGACCTAGAGAACATATAACCAAAATTCCCTTAATTTTATAATAAATATTTTTTTAACAGCAACAACAAAAATACACAGGAAGCTTTTCAAGTTACAAGTTAAAAGTGGTCTGTAAAGCTGCTCTATTTTGTGATGGCCTGCTTGCATAAACTGGTAATCTGACATGAAACAAAACCTTAAGAGCTTCAAAGGGGAATCTGCAGCCTCACTGAACATGGAAGTCTTATCCTCTGCCTCTGTGTGTGAGGCCTTCCCACCATTTTGACTGTGTCTTGGCATTCCCTGTCTTATTTGTGTTGTAAATAATTTTCTCTTTGGGCATTATCTCAGATGTCCATTTTATGCTTACTATTTAATGCCCTTATTTGACATTATCTTGGGCGTTTAATAAACTGAATGTATATTATGGATGCATTGGTAGGTAGGGTTTTTGTGTGTGTGTATTTACTTGTTTGTTTTCGAGACAGGGTCTCACTCTATCACCCAGACTGGGGTGCAGTGGTGTGATCATGACTCACTGCAGCTTCGACCTCTGGGGCTCAAGTGATATTCCCAACTCAACCCCCTGAGTAGCGGGGACCACAGGCTTGTGCCACCACAACTGCTTAATTAATTTATTTTTTTATAGAGGGGTCTCACCAGGTTGCCCAGGCTTGTCTCGAACTCTTGGACTCAAGTGATCCTCCCAAAGTGCTGCGGTTACAGGTGTGAGCCACCATGCCCAGCCTATAATAAATTAGGCTGAGTGCCTGCCATCTTGCAGTTTGCACTTTAGTTAAGAGATAAGTGAAAAAAATATTTTGTTTTGTGGTAGAAAGCGTGTTCCAGATAAAGGAACAGCTCATATGAAGGCCTGAGGTAGGAGAAAGAGAGGATTTTAAAGGGTTAGAATGGAAGTCAGGTTGGTGAAAAGTATGTACTGAGTGAGAAAGGAAAAGGACTAAGGACGTAAAGGCCAGGTGATATCACCCATGATAAGAACATTATTCTGACCAGTACCAATAACTTTGTACTTATTACAGATAATCCACACTCATAAACTAGTCTTACAATGCCTCCAAACCAGAGGTGAAGCTGTCATTATAAAAGGTTAGAAACAGAAAAGTGGGTGCTCTGGAAAATTCAGAATATTTCCCAAGACTTCATTTCATCATGGTCTCCAAGATTATTTGAAGACTTCTATTCAAAAAAAGGACCCATTCTTAAAAATTCCCTAATTCTGCACTAAGTCTGCCTTTTCTTCTATTTTCGTATAATTTTTTTTTCCTTTCTTTGACTCCCATTCAGACTTGGAGAAAGTATAGCAGCAAACAATGCCTATAGACAACAGGAAACAGAACATATACCCAGAAAAATGCCCTGGCAATCATCAAATCACAGTTTTCCAACATCAATAAAGTGTTTAACTCCTCATTTGAAAGATGGTGTTCCTGGATTGAATATTGAAGAATTAATAGAGAAACTTCAGTCTGGAATGGTGGTGAGTGAAAAAATAGCAATTATAACCTGGTACATATTAGCTATATGTCAGTCCCAATTATAACGTGTATCTAAACACTGTCAGGTACAGATTTCACTATTGAAACCTTAATATAAGAAATAACAATATTCTGGAAAATTTGGAAATAAGAAAAATCAGTCAAAATTTCAACATTTTGCCGGGTGCGGTGGCTTACGCCTGTAATCCCAGCATTTTGGGAGGCCAAGGAGGGTAGATTGCCAGAGCTGAGGAGTTCAAGACCAGCTTGGGCAATATGGCGAAACCCCGTCTCTATTAAAAATACAAAAAATTAGCTGGACGTGTTGGCTCATGCCTGTTGTCTCAGCTACTCTGAAGGCTGAGGCAGGAGAATCACTTGAACCCAGGAGGCAGAGGTTGCAGTGAGCCAAGATCATACCACTTCACTCCAACCTGGGTGACAGTGAGACCCATCTCAAAAAAAAAAAAGAAATATTTGTGACTTACCTGATGTAGCATTTGTTTTTATTTTGTTACTCATCATTAAGTTTTAATGATTTAGTTTTGAAGTAGGCATTTATTTTGTCATTGTGTCAAAATATTTTATTAAAATTTTAAGTTTTTTTACTCTTAAAATGTAGGTAAAGGATCAGATTTGTGATGTGAGAATATCTGACATAATGGATGTATATGAAATGAAACTATCCACATTAGCTGTGAGTATAAGCTTATTTTAACAATGTGTAATAAGCTTTAATAGATGTATTCCTAAAATGAAAATTAATGATATGTTTTCTTGTAGTCCAAAGAAAGCAGGCTACAAGATCTTTTGGAAACAAAAGCTCTAGCCCTTGCACAGGCTGATAGACTGATTGCTCAGCATCGCTGTCAAAGAACTCAAGCTGAAACAGAGGTGTGTAGAATATAAAGACACATCTGATTTGTAGAAAAATTAATAAGTAAAACATGCAAAATATTAGTTATGTATTTGTTACTCTAATTGAAGTAAATTCTCCTTAGCATTTGACATGCCTCCTTCCTTCTTCCTGAAATTCTGTCCTCTTTAATTTTGGTTACATCGTTACCTGATTTTTTTTTGCTACCTTGTATTATTTTCCTATGTTATTTATTTTGTACCTTTAAGTGTTGGGGACTCTGGGACTTATATTCTAAACCTTTTTCCTTTAGTTATGTGTTCTGTGGTTTCAATGGTTACCAAAATAGTAATGTTCCTAATTTTATATGTCAAGCACAGATCATTTTCCTGAGCACTATGTGCCTATGTTGCTCCATTTAAATATACAGCAAATACCACAAACTCAGCATAACCAATAATGAACTAATCACCCTTCCCTTTTTAAAATTATTCTTATGTATTCCCTCTTCTGTTTTTAGTGTTCTACAAATAAGAACCCTGGAAATCACAGTTTTTACCTCCTATAATTATTCACCAAGTCCAGTTGATTCTACCTTCTAAATATTACTCTTTTCTGCCCTATCTCTGCTTCTACCACTATTTGTTATAGGCTGGATCCTTTTCATTTTTTGTATGAATCATAGCAGAGCAATTAGTCTTCCTACCTGTAGTCTTCTACCCTCTTCTCAGATACTCTACAGCCAGTCATCTTTCCTTGGTTCTACCCCCTTCACCTAGCCGCTCCCCCAAGGATCTCTAAGGCAGTAAAATGATCCTGTCCCTCTTGTGCTGAGTATCTTTCACAGTAGCTGCTATTGCTTTCAAATATCATTAAAATTCTTTAGTTTGGCATATAAGGATTCTAACTATATAGGCCTCAATCCACATCTTTCATTTCTGCGCATTCTTTGCAGTCAGCCATGTTAGGCCACTTTGCTTTTTCTGAAACTTGACATATTCTCGTATTTCCTTGTCGTGGCACTTGACTTTCCATGTCTGGAACACCATTTCCTCTCTTCTGCCTAACTCATAATCCTTCAGATTTCAGTTAAAATATCCTCATTACCCAGAAGCCTACTCTGGTCTCCTTCCCACACGTGTTTGACGATCCTTCCTCTGTGTATCAAACCTACGCTTATCTCTTAATAACATTTTTCAAACCACGTGGAAATTCTTTTTTCCCTCACTCATGGTATCAAAGACTGCTTCTATAGCTCCAGGCCCTAGCATAGCACTTGGCACATAATAGGTGCTCAGTAAATTTGGCATTGTATTATGTACATATATAATGTATACCTTAAGAGTGAACTTACTGCAGTAATATGAAATTCCCAGCAGATACAAATGGAATCTATACAACTTGATATTATTTATAATGAATGAATTATAATAAAGTGTTCCTGGCTTTTGAAAGATGCATCAAAATAAGTGACTAGTAAAATGCCTCTTAAGTCTCTTCAGAATAATGGTATTCTTTTTTTCCCCCATATTTCTTTCTTTTTTGCTTATTTTAACATGGTTTCATTTGTCTTAACTGGTATGTTGAATTTGTCACAAATTACAAGAAAGAACATTAGTGATATTAAAATAATTTTTCCCTCTCCCCATAGCACATTCTTATATTTTCTGTCTGTTGGACATGTCTTGTATTTTATTAGAGAGTTTAATATTTTATTCATGTTACTGGAAAAGTTCTTATAAAAATAGCACTAAATAACTGGATACAGGTTCTTCACAAAGTCGTAAAAACAGAGAAAGGCTTAGGGTTTTGTCTAGCATTGTAAAATAAAATCCAAAGGGCTGGGGGGAACCAACTTTTTATTCTAGCGACTTTTCTGCTTTTTTAGTGTTTCATATCACATAATAAATACATGCAGGTTATGGTATAGGTTACATTCTTTGATTATACTAGCTTAATTTTAAGTGTTTGATTAAGCATCTGTGATGTCGTTAAGATTTTGTTCTTAATTCTCACCTGAAATGAGAATGCTGATGGTGTGCACACTTAGCAGTTTAGTGTTAATGGCTACCTCTGAGGACCATACCTTTTTAATTGAATACTGTATGTAGCGCGACCTTCATGTTGCTGCAGTTGTATCCATTTCCATTAATTTGATCATAGTGAGATTGTTTTTATCAGATAATGTATTAAGTTAAAAAAATATAACAGTATCCAACTTATTAGAAGTAAAGTCCTAAGTATATGTGACTAATACAGCTTTGCATGACCCAACAGATACCAGCTTATTAGATACTTAGTAAACTTTTAAATTGTAGGTATGTGTTGAGCATATGATATAGATGATAGTGGTAAAGTCTATCTTCTTTTTTTTTTTGAGGCACGGACACTTGCTAGTATGTTGAGAGAAGTTGAGAGAAAAAATGAAGAGCTTAGTGTGTTGCTGAAGGCGCAGCAAGTTGAATCAGAAAGAGCGCAGAGTGATATTGAGCATCTCTTTCAACATAATAGGAAGTTAGAGTCTGTGGCTGAAGAACATGAAATACTGACAAAATCCTACATGGAACTTCTTCAGAGGTAAATAAAGTAAAATCTTCTGTGTAAGGTTAGAACCTAGAATGAACATGCAGCATTTCTTTTCTGAGACCCGAAAATCCTTTTGTAAGCATTTCATATATTCTGATAACACATGAGGTAAGTAATTAGCAAGAAACTTAAGTCATTGTGAAATGAAGTGTTGCTTCCTCAAACTCAGTATCAATGTTGGAAACAAAATACAGGTCTTTCCAGTTGACTTCTTTTATGTATTCATAACAGTCAGCAGTCATTTGGGAGATAAGCTCCACAAGGACAAGTTTGTCTGTTTTGATCACTGACAGATCCCTAGGGCCTGTAGGAGTGCTTGCTGCATAGTTAGGCACTTCATTAATAATTTTTAAATAAACTTAGTTGTCAAATTAGTATTAGGTTGAATGGTCATTTCTGCAGATCAAAAGTAGTTGAATATTGGCAATTTCATATCATTCTGCCTAATAGAATGGAAATTTAGGTGTAAGTGTTTAACTCATCTCTTAATATCCTTGATTATAGTTTACTTCCATGTGTGATTACATCTGTAGAATAAGTTCACATAGGTGAATTGCTAAGTTAAAGGGTATGTATATTTAATATTTTGATAGATATTTCTAAATTTTCCTCCAAAATGTGATACAGATTGAGTGTCCTTTTTGAACACAATGGTAGCACTCAAAAAGTTTAATATTTTGGAGCACTTTTGATTTTAGACTGATTTTGGATTTTCAAATTAGTGTTGCTCAACCTGTACCAATTTGTGTGCCTACTAGCAAAGTTTGATTGGTTTTTCCTCCCTTATAAACTCTTTTATCTTTTTAGGCCAGTTGTAAAACTTCTGAATTACAGGGAAGACCAGGAACAATTATGTATTTTCTACCAACCCATAAAAGTAAATACACTCTGGGGGAACTTGTTTATTGCTTTATATTTTAAGATTGTTCTATGTTGTTAATACAGAGATATAGAAATTTTTAGCTTGGCATGGTACATATGCTTATTTCCCATCAATAATAATGAAGGGTGAGAAATGAATAGTATCTAGAAAATGATGACAAAGTGATTTTTTAACAGGATATTTACCCCAGCAACTTTTTACAAAGTCTGATTGTTTGAGGCACCACTGATAAAGTGTAGTATTAGTGATAAGCCAAGTTGAGAACGTCAGCAGTGAAGAAAATACGTTATAGAACTGAAATGGGTTCCATTTGCTCAATACAGTAAAACCAGGTATCTGCACCAAGGTTTGCAGTGATAGAAAAAAAGGCTTTTACTGCAGGGTGCCAAGTAAGGAGGAGCAGGCAGCCAAATGCTCAAATACTGACCTCCCCAATAGCTTGCAAGCAAGGATTTTTAAAGGCGAGTAAATTTCAGGAAAGTGGAAGTTACAGACAAAAATCATAAATAAATAGTTAAAGGTTATACATTGGTTTAAGTTTAAAGGACAGGATATTGTGAAGCAGGGGCTTACAGGTCATGGGTAGACCCAAAGATTTTTCGATTTGCAGTTGGTTAAGGAAGAGCAGCTTTGTTTAAACATTTGGGGTCAGTAGAAAAATGTTAACTAGCTAGGGAGAGTGACTTTGTTCAAGACCCTGAGAAAGAAACTTAGAACAAAGAACAGTGGTTAAAATTCAGCCTTCATTTTCTCCTTACCTGAGCTCTACTTGTCAATGGATCTGGTCAGTGGGCTTCCTCAATGAGGGTCCGGGTCTCTGAAATACAACTCAGGGACATGTGTTAAGTTGTTTTCTTTAAGTTCTATAAAGAATCAAGTATCACTGGTACTCTTAAGTTTGTTAACTTTGATTTAGGCTACTATTACCTTCCTGTTTAACAAGTTACTTATTTACTTCTAGGGCTATCTAGGTCCCTGGAATTTCCCTTGAGTGAACTCAGGATTTTCCTTTATTTTCCAGCTTGAGGTCCTCAGACCTCCTAAAAAGGGGATACCTGCTTTGTCTCACATAGAGAACCTAAGAGATAGGCAGCGTCCAAGAAAAATACGTGGTTTCTAAGACCTGCTTATGTTCCAGCTAGTGATTTAGGGGCTAGAAGGTGAAATTCCTTGAATGGACAAGTGGATAACATGTAAATGAAGCTGGCTGGGGAAAAGGTCATTTGTAATGGTCAGGACTGTCTAAAGGCACTCAAACTCAGATTGTTAAAATTCCTGTATGGATTAGATACAAAAACTGCTGGCCAAGTTTGGCTACTGGTTTTTTTTGTTTGTTTTGGTTTGGTTTTTGGGTTGCTTTTTAAAAATCTTTGTGCTTAGTGAAATAAAAAAGACATTTTATGCTTATGGTAGTTGAGTATCAAAGTATTACTTTAGAAAGGATTTTTTTCTGTGTTTACCTTGCAGGTAAAATACTTAGGACTATTAGATGCAGAGTTTTAAAGAGACAAATGTAGAACCCTAAACTTATTTATAGCAAATTATGTAATGCAATATCATCTGTAAAATAAGGCTTTATATCCATAAATATGAGATTAATGCCCCACACATTTCTATTTCATAGTAATTTTTACCACATCAGTCAACCAAAACATGTATTTACTGCCTTTTAGAGTAGATGAAATTCTGTTTATGTCCTGCTTGTTCATAACATTCCTTCTCTTCCAGCATATGCAATTTGGTTAGAAGAGATAGTAAAGAAAACACTGTGAGCTTCTTTTCTCCTTCATATGTTTTCCTCCATAATGATGCCAACTCATTTTCTTGTCTTTTCAGAAATGAAAGTACTGAAAAGAAGAATAAAGATTTACAGATCACATGTGATTCTCTGAATAAACAAATTGAGACAGTGAAAAAGTTGAATGAGTCACTCAAGGAACAAAATGAAAAGTAAAATCTCTAGTTCTATATTCTGAATATGTGGGATTTTTCAAAAACAAAATGATTCCCTTTATATAGAACATTGTTTTTTATTGATAAAATTAATAGAATTGTCACTTATTTTAGATATAAGATATGTATTTGGTGGAAGTTACAGGCAATTGCTGTTCTTAGAAATTTTGTTTTAAAGGCTGGGCATGGTAGCTCACGCCTATAATCCCAGCACTTTGGGAGGCTGAGGTGGGTGGAGCGCATGAGGTCAGGAGTTTGAGACCAGCGTGGCCAACATGGCGAAACTCTGTAAATACTGAAAATACAAAAATTAG